>NC_000009.12:102766006-102917521 GCF_000001405.40 Homo sapiens | reverse complement strand
TGTTCATGGAAGATAGATAAAGATGAACATAATACTTATAGAGAAATATATATCTTTAGAAGTTATCTAGAAGTTAATAGTAACATTTCAAACATTGGGAAAACAATAAAATGTTTTCCAGAAATATATTTTAGAACAATTGAATAATATTGGTGATAAAAATATTGTTGTATAAGTGAGTGGAAAATGTGGAAGTTAAGTATACTCTTCACTTAAATGAACTCTAAATACAAGAAATGTAAATAAAATATAAATATGTCATTTAAAAATAATAATCCACATAGAAATATATCTATGTGAGCTTTCCATAAACCCCAAAACAAAACCAAACCATATTGCTTCATTGGTGGATAGATAGATAGGTGTACCTTGACAAAACAAAAGTCATAAATAAGCAACTAGAGAAATTTGCAGCACATGTTCAACACAGGCTTATTTCCTTATTGTACAGAAAATGCTTTAAAATGAGAGAAATATCGTTAAATTTATGCGGTCACAATTAAGAGACAAAATATAAATGAAAACAAACACATTAACATGTATGATCTTATTAAAACACTGAAAATGAAAACAGTAAGATGATATCAACTTTTATCTGACAAATGAACAGCATACTATGTTGTCAAGGTGTAAGAAAACACATGCCTTCAAAGAAGTGAATGGGAATACAATTAGACACAAAAAATTTAAGACTACTTGGAAGTGTCTATCCAAGTTTAAAGATTTACATAGCACTTCTCATTTCTAGTTAAATATATATATATATATATATATATATATATATACACAAAAGAGCAAATGAGTATAAGTAGGTATATTCATCACAGCATTCATATATTAATGGAAAACAATTACTGATGCTTATGAAAATACTTAAATATGTAAAATACTCTGAAGCAATGGAATGTAATGTATAAAAATAGAAAATAATAGAGATTATACATATACACACATACACGTGAATGGTAATATATTCAAAACATCATTAAGAGAAATCAAATGTGTCAGGTAGTATTAAATTATGACCCTATTAAGGAGAAAAAATTATGCATCCCATCCCACATACAAACCCACATAAATAAATAGATTTGGCATAGCAAATGAAGGGAATCACATGCCATAAATATTACTTGTCTCTGGAGAATGAGATATGGAGTTCGAATAAAGTGATAATATAAGTTTCAACTTTCTATACAGCTGAACATTTAAAAATTTTATATCATATACATAATTTATTTTAATAATAAAAATTTAATTAAAATAATTGAGTTTTTTAAAAAACTAATTAATATAGTCAATTGTGTCAAACTCCCTCAAAGGAGCACTTGTTTCAATGAAGAAACTCATTTTTCTTGGTAGATATTTCATATGGTTGCCACAAATTATTTGATTTTTAATATACAGAATTCTGACCCTCCCAACAGTCTTTCAGAATGCATAATTTGGTGTTCATATATTCTGCAAAATAAGTTAAATTAATGAAATATCGAGGGCTCCCTAAACAATAAACATTCTTCAAGGACATTTAGGCATGGAAATGGTACATTCTGAATATTTGGACCTCATTTGGCTGCCTGGATAATGAAAACATTTAATTAATCTACACAACTCAAGTTCATTAGAGAATATTCTATTGAGAAATGCTGTCTAATTCCTTCTGAATCTATTAATCTATTTTATAATGATATAATTTTTTCTGGTAACACTACCAAAGTAATTATTTTTATCGTACATTAAAATTTTCTAATAATCTTAGTCATACTATGCAAAAGACTAATGCAATACTTGCATATATATAATGTACCTTCTGATGAAAATCCCAATGCTAGTTTATTTAATATGTAAATTTAATATAGCTTGGAGAGGCTTTGTGATTATGGCTAACATGGTACTTTGAAAATATACTATGCTGTGTTTGGTAGCTTCTGAAAAAGCTTTCAGTCTTCCAATGAATCATGCATTGTAGCATTCATGACTTTCCATGATCACCTCTTCTTTAGTGTGGGCTCATGTAGTGACATTTTTCTAACAAATAAGTTATAGCAAAGATGGTGGAGTGTCACTTCTAAAATTAACTTACCAAAGACTTTGTCTTACATTGTGTTGACTTTCTCTCACTCGCTTGCTCTATCACTTGATTACTGTGACGAAGCTAGTTCCCCTATGGAGAAGCTCACCTGACAAGGAATTGAAGAAGTCTCAGCCAAGAACCAGAAATCAATTGAGGCCTTCAGTCCAGCAACACTTGAAATACTAAATCCTGCCATAAATGAGAAGGTTTCATTTTTTGTAATGGCTGAATAGTATTCTATTGCTTACCACATTTTCTTTGTTCATCCATTCATTGACGGATACTTGAGTTGATTCCATATCTTGGATATTATGAATAGTGCTGCCATAAAATAAAAATACTACAGGTCTCTTCTTGACATACTGATTTTATCTGTGATTACATTCCCAGTAGTAGCACTAATAAATCATATGGTAGTTCTATTTTTAATTTTTATTCATTCATTCATTCATTGATGGATACTTGGGTTGATTCCGTATCTTGGATATTATGAATAGTGCTGCAATAAAATAAAAATAGTAAGGTCTCTCCTTGACATACTGATTTTATCTTTGGATGCATTCCCAGTGGTAGCACCAATGGATCATACGGTAGTTCCATTTTTAATTTTTGGGGAAGCTTCCATGTTTTCCATAACGGCTGTTCTAATTTATATTCCAACCAACTGTGCATATGTGTTCCCATTTCTTCACATCCATATCAGCTTTTGTTATATTTTTAGTTGATAATAGCCATTCATTTTAGGTAGAGGTGATACTCAATGTAGTATTGATTTGCATTTTTTTGATGATTGAACTTTTTTATACACATGTTGAACATTTGTTCATCTTTGAGAAATGTCTATTCATGTCTTTTGTTCATTTTTAAACAAATTGTTTGGCTTTCATTTTTTAATGTTTTTGCTATGGAATTGTTTGATTTTTTAATGTATTTTGGATATTGACCCCTTGTCAGGTTTGTAATTTGCAAATGTTTTCTCTTATTCAATAGGTTACCTCTTCACTGTGTTGTCTCCTTTGTTATGCAGAAGCTTTTTACTTTGATGTGATCCCATTTTTCTCTTTTCCTTTTGTTGCCTGTTCTTTGAGTTCTTATCCAAAAAATCCTTACCAAGAAGAATGTCATAAAGCTTTCTCCTTTTTTCTCTTCTAGTGGTTCTATAGGTTTTTGTCTTAACATTTACATTTTTGCTCTATTTTCAGTTGATTTTTTTAAATGGTAAGAGATAAGGGGATTTTTTTATTATTTTGCATGCTGATATCCAGTTTACCTAGCTCCATTTATTGAAGAGACAGTCCTTTCCCTAATGCCTGTTCTTGGCAACTTTGTCAAAAATTAGTTGGCTGTAAGTGCATGGAGTTTTATCTGTATTTTCTATTCTGTTCCATTGGTCTGTGTGTCCATTTTTATGCCAATGCCATACTACTTGGGCTACTATTGCTTTTTAGTGTATCTTGAAATCAGGTAACATGATGCCCCAGCTTTGTACTTTTGTATTTTGCTTCTGTTTTTGCTTTTGTTTTCAGGATTGCTTTCATTTAGGGTATTTTGTGGTTCCATGCAAATTTTAGGATTTTTTTTTTTCTGTGAAGAATGTCATTGGCATTTTGATAGGAATTGCATTGAATCTATAGATTGCTTTCAGTGGTATGGACATTTTAATAATAGTAGTTTTTCTAATCCATGAACATGGTGCATCTTTATTTATTCATGTCCTCCTCAATTTCCTTTATCAATGTTTTATAGTTTTTATTGTAGAGATCTTTTACCCCTTGGTTACATTTATTTCTAAGCATTTTAATTTTTGGTAGCTGTTATAAATAAGACTGCTTTCTTAATTTTTTACAGGTAGTTCACTTTTGATAATAGAAACATGACTAATTGTATTTAGTAAATTTATATCCTCCAGCTTTATTGAATTTATTTATTAGTTCTAACAATTTTTTGGTGGAGTCTTCTGGATTTTCCATATATAATCATGTGGTCTGCAAACAAGACAATTTGACTTTCTTCTTTATAATTTGAATGCTGTATATTTATTTATCTTGCCTCATTGCTTTGGTTAGCGCTGGCAATACTGTATTGAATGAAAGCAGTGAGAGTGTGCATCCTTTTCTTGCTCAAGATCTTAGAGAAGCTTTCAGTTTTTTCTTACTCAGGTGGCATTAGATATAAGATTGTCATATATGGCCGTTATCGTATTGAGTGTGTTCCTTCAAACCTAATTTGTTTGAGAGATTTTATAGTGAAGGGATGTGAAGTTTATCAAATATTGTTCTATACCTATTGAACTGATCATACAGCTTTTGTCCTTGATTCTGTAATGTGATGTATCACACTTACTGATTCGCGTATGTTGAAACATCCTTGCATATCTAGGGTGAATCTCACTTGATCATGGTGAGTACATATTTTTTAAATTTGCCATTGAATTTGGTTTGCTAGGATTTTGTTGAGGGTTTTTGCATCTATGTTCATCAAAGGTATTGGCTTATAGTTTTCTTTATTATGTGTATTCTTCTCTGGTTCTGCTTTTAAGGTAATGCTAATCTCATAGAATGAGTTTGTAAGACTTCCTTTTTCTTTGATTTTTGGAATAGTTTGCAAAGGATTGGTATTAGTTCTTCTTTAAATGTTTAATAGAATTCAGCCATGAAGCCATCAGGTCTTCGGTGTTTCTTTGATAAAAGACATACTATTACTAACCCAACCTAATTACTAATTATTGATCTGTTCAGATTTTCTATTTCTTCATGACACAATTTTGGTAGATTTTGTGTGCCCAGGAATTTATCCATTTCCTCTAGGTTTTCCAATTTGTTCATTTAAAGTTGTTCACAGTAATATCATATGCTTCTTTGTATTTATATAGTATGATTTGTAATTTCTCATTTTTATCTGTGATTTTATATATCTGAATTTTCTCTCTTTTTTTCTTCAGTTAACCTAACTAAAGGTTTCTCAATTTTCTTTTTCTTTTCAAAAAGTAAGTTTTTCATTTTGTTAATCTTGTGTATTTTTGGTCTCATTTATTTCTGTTTTTCTATTTATTATTTGTTTATTTCTAGAAATTTTGGTTAGTTTATTCTTGTTTTCCTAGTTCTTTGAGGTGCAACATTTGGTTATTTGAGATCTTTCTAACTTTTGGTGTAGGCATGTGTCACTATAAACTTTTCTCTTAAAACTTTTTACTTTATCCCATAATTACTCTTACTTTTAAGTTGTTGGTACATTGTGCTTTATTTGTATTTGTCTCAAGTATATTTTTTTAAAAAATTTTATTCTTTAATTTCTTCACTGACCTATTCATTGTTCAGAAGTATGTTGTTTACTTCCCATGCATTTGCATAGTTTTCAAAGTTCTTTCTGTTATTGATTTCTAACTTATTTTATTATGGTCAGAAAATATCCTTATTATGGCTTTGTTTTTTTTTTTTTAATGTATTAAGACTTATTTTGTGGCTTAAGATATGATCTGGAGAAAGTTGCATTTACTTATGAGGATGTGTATTCTGCAGCTATGTGTATTCTACCCAGAAAACTGGGTAGAATGTTCTGTAAATGTCTATTAGGTCAATTTAATCTACAGTGCATTTTAAATAAGATGATTCTTTTTTGATTTCCTCTGTAGATGATTTATCTATTGCTTAAAGTGAGGTGTTGAAGGATCCTAGTATTTTATTGAATTTTTTTAGATCTAATAAAATCCTTTATATGTATGTGGGTTTTCCAGTGTTGGGTGCATATACGTTTATAATTATTACATTATCTTGCTGAGTTGCCCTTTTTATCATTGTATAATGACCACCTTTGTCTCTTTTTACAGTTTTTATTTGAAGTTTTATTTTATCCAATATAAGTGGTATGGCTTACTTTGTGTCCCCACCCAAATCTCATCTCAAACTGTAATTCCCAAGTGTCGAGGGAGGGGTCTGGTGGGAGGTGAATGAATCATGGGTCCTGACTTCCCCTTTGCTATTCTCATGACAGTGAGTGAGTTCTCACAAGATCTGGTTGTTTGAAAGTGTGTGGCACTTCCCCTTTTGCTCTCTCACTGCCTCTCCCTCTCTGATGTGGTAAGACATACTTGCTTCTCTTTGGTTTTCTGGCATGATTTTACAGGAACCCTGCCCCCAGTCAACAGGCTTCACGTAATTTAGCAGAGCAGCTGCACAACCTCCAGCATCCTAGGCCACTGAAACATTTTCAGGCATCACTGACATTAACTACAGGTTAAGAAACTGCAGATACTAAAATCTAATAGAGAAAAGTCCAAGAACATGACTTCACTGGTGAATTTTACCAAACATTAAGAAAAAGATCACACCAATCCCTCTCAAACTCTGCCAAAAATGAAGAAGAGAAAACATGACTTATTCTGTCAGGCCAGTGTTACCTAGATACCAAAGCCAGAAAAACACACAACAGGAAAAGGGAAAATACACACTAATAGTAAATATAAGTGCAGAACTTCTCAACAAAGCACTACTAAACTGGATACAATTGTATATTAAAGCATTATACTCCATAACCAAGTAAGATTTATCCCAGAAATATAAGGGTAAACACATGATAATCAATGTAAGACACCACCACATTAATAAAATGATATGAGAAAAGTGTCACATGATTATTTCAATTAATATACAAAAAAAGCATTTTACAGAATAGAATATTCTTTCTTGATAAAAACACTCAGAAAATTAGGAACAGAAGACTTCCTTAACAGAATAAAGGACACTTATATAATCTCACTGCTAACCTTATACTCGATGACAAAAGACTGAAATCATTCCCCTAATAATAGGAATAAGACAAGGGTATTCACTTGTACTACTCCTGCTCAACCATGCACTTGAAATTTTATCCAAAACTGTTAAATGAGAAATAAAAGACATTCAAATTGGAAAAGACGAAGAAAACACTCCTATCACAAAGGACATGATCCTAGATATAGAAAATCTTAACCACAGAAACCTGTCAGAACTAATAAATTCATAATGTTGCATATCAACAGACAAAAATATTTTCTTTCTCTACAACATCAATAAACCTTCTGAAAAGATAATCAACAAATCAGTTCCACTAACAATAGCATATAAAAGAAAATACCTTGGCCAAAATTAAATCAAGGAGAGGAAAGACTTATACACTGAAAACTCAGAGTATTACTGAAAGAAGTTAAAGAAGACCTAAGCAAATGAAAAGGTATCATGAGATCATTAATTAGAAGACTTGATATTAAGATGGGAATATTACCCAAAGCAATCTACAAACTCAATGCAATCTCTATTGAAATTCTAATGGATATTTTTGCAGAAATGGAAAAGCAGAAATTCAAATTTCTGGGAAATTGGAAGTGATCTTCATAGGCATTTAATAGGATTTAAAAGAAAAAGTTGGAAGTATTACACTTGCTAATTTCAACATTTACTATAGATCTACAGTAATCAAAAGAGTGTCAGACTTTCATAAAGACATATATAGACTAATGGAATAGAATTGTAAGTCCAGAAAAAAAATTACATTGGTAATGAATTGATTTTTCACAAGTGTGCCAAGACCATCCATGGGAAATGAATAGTCTGTTCCACAAATGGTGCTAGTGCAACTAGAAATCCATATGCAAAGAATGATGTTTTATTTGTACCTCACACCAAATAGAAAAATTAACTCAAAATGAATTTACAAGCTAAATATGAGCTAAAACTATGAAAATCTTAGAATAAAACATAGTGCAACATTTTCTAACCATGAATTTGGCAATAGGTTTATTAGATATGACACCAATGGCATGAGCAAAAAATGGGAAAAAATTAGAGATAAATGAAACTTCGTCAAAATTAAAAATGTAGGAATCACAAAACATTATTAAGAAAGTGAGAAAAAATCAATCTATAGAGTGGTATAACATATTTTGCAAATTATGTATCTGATAATAGTCTAGTATCTAGAATATATGAATGACTTTTACAACTCATCAAAAAAGACAACTCAATTAAAAACTATGCATATGATTTGAATAAATATTTCTTCCAAAATATTTATAAATGACAAGCACAAGAAAAGTTTTTAAATCATTAGTTATGATAAAAAGGCTAATCAAAAGTCTATGGGAAACTACTTCACCCCCTCAATGATGGCTATAAAAACTTTTTTACGTAGTAAGTGTTAAAAAGATACAGAGAAAGTGGAACCCTTGTATTTTGCCGGTGGGAATTTAAAATGGTGCAGCCATTGTGAAATACTGTTTGGTGGTTTCAGAAAATATTAACCATACTATTACAGTTAGACCTAGATATTCCACTCTTAGGTGTAAGCCCCAAATTACTGAGAACAAGTCCTCAAGCAAACACATGTGAATGCATATTCATAGATAGTCACAATAGTTCACAATAGTCAAGAGATGGAAACAACCCAGTGTCTATCAACAAATGAATACATAACCAATTTGTGGTATATTAATACAATGGAATATTATTCAGCTATAAAAAGGAAGGACATACTGATGGATACTACAATGAGATACACCTGACAACTGCATGATAAGTGAAAGAAGCCAGACACAAATGGTAACATGTTGCTGATTCCATTTTTTATGAAAGGTCCAGATAGATAAATCTAAAATATCAGATTAGTGGTTTTCAGGGGCTGATGAGAGGGAATAAGAAATAGACTGCTTAATAGGTATGTGGTTTCTTCTGGAGTAATGAAATGTTTTGGAACTAGGTAGAGCTATTGTAATTTTGAGAGCTTCCTATTAGTTCAGTTATAGTCAAATGGACTAACAGAATAGAGAAACTAGGAACAAACACTTGCATATATGAAAAATTAATATAAATCACACATGGGATTGCAGATTAATAGGGAAGGGAGTAACTCAATAAAAGATGTAGGAGAAATTGGTTACATTGATCTCTATATATATTGAATTATTTTATTGAAATGAATACAAAAATGAATTTCAAGGTAATTATAAGTAAAGTTAAAAAGCAAAACTTTACGATTTGTGATATATATTATCAAAATCTTTATTTGAACACTGAAGATAAAATGTTAACGGGCTGGAAAAGTAAAACATAATGGAAAACACTGAAGAATTGAAGTATATGAAAAATAATATACATTTAAGTAATATTTTTCTTATAATTTAAATAATACGTAATGAAATTTCATATAATTATGTGAAAACTGGATTGTATGAAAAGGTTGTATGTGACATGATACTACTAAAAAGAAGCAGCCAAGCTGGATGTGGTCGCTCATGCCTATAATCCCAGCACTCTGTAGGACCTAGGCAGGAAGACTGTTGAGCCTAGGAGTCTGAGACCAACCTGGACAACACAGTGATACAACCATCTCTACAAAAAATAAAACAATTCACCAGGATTACACCGCTGCACTACAGCCTGGGTGACAGAGAGAGATTCTGTCTCAATAATAATAAAAATAAAATAAAATAAAATAAAAAGAAGCAGCCATAGAGAGTATCAGGGGATATTTGCAGTGTTGAAAACCAAAAAGCCTTAGTATCTAGATTGTATAAAAACACCTAAAAGGTATTTTAAAAATATCAGTGAACAAGCATTCAAGATCACTGCCACTGTAAGCTTACATCTAACAGAGAGAGATAAGCAATAAGAAGTCTACTGATAAATAATTATATACTGTTTTAGAAGGTAAAATTATTTAAAAACTAAAAAGTAGAGCAGATTGGGGTGAAATAAGATTGATAGTAAAGGGATTGTTTGGAATTGTAAATAATTACTGTTTTTTGAAAAGGTGTCATATACAGGACAGTAACAATGATGGAGTGAACCTCATTCCTAATCAGCAAAATACAAATTTGTTCTTAATTAGGAAATTATTTCTCATACTGATACAGCTTTTCTCCACCAGGATTCAGGGGAATATTAAGATATAATCCCTTAAGGTGTTTAACATATGTAATGAATTAGTCCCTCCCCAATTCATTTAGTATGGTACTAGTTATGTTCCATTCTTGGGTGAATTGAGAAGATAGTGACTCAATTCACTCTCTATGTTTTGTGATTCAGATAAAAAATCCCAATTGAGAAAGACTATGAGAAAAATAATTTTATCAGTCTGTTAGTATACATTGGGGAGGATGTTATTTATATGAAGGAAATTGGTATGATAATTTCAAGGAAATTGGTATGATAATTTCATGAGTAATTTGGGAATATTTGGTGAATATTGAAGTGAATATGAAAATGTACACACCTTTGTCCTAGCAATTTACCCTCTAGCCTTACACTCTTGGAAATATTTCTGAATATGTAAATGAAGACAAGGACAGTAGTACTTACATTAGTAGGGTTTGAACGCGAGGAAAGTGAATGAACCAGAACTACATACTGCCAAGCTGTAAATTATGATCATTCTTTTATTTACATTTCCCCTTGAGAAAGTGAGAGTGGGTCTATGGCTTATATTTCTTCATATCTCCTGCTTAGGTAATTGGATACCATTACTCATTTTTCCAGTTTGTTTATTTTTTTGACAAATAAGGACACACTCTAAAAAGTTTATTTTGTACAACAGAGGTAGAGAATCCTAGAGTAAATGCTGTATTTATTATTTGATAAATTATATTTATCCTATTTCATATATTATTTTATTTGAATATATAGTTAATATTTTTGACCCCATGTCTGCCTATCTCCTTAATTCATTCATTTTTCATCTTCTGTATTTGTCAGTTCTTCTGAAAAAATCATTAATAAGAAGAATTAGATTTATTTCAAAATAACTTTCAAATTTATTCCAATCAATTGTAATTTTGATAACCGCTATTATTAAGAGACATAGTGAAATGTGATGCTTCTCTGTTGCCTGGTACAATGGTACATACTTATTTTTATGTAAGCGGTGTCTTACCTTTAGGGTTCATAAAACAGATTTGGAATAAGAGATTAAAATGATGTCGTCAATCTTAACACATTGAGAGAAGTTAAACAATGTTTATCATATTTATTATCTTTATCTGATTTGAGTGTCATTTTATTATTTTTATAAAGGGTCAGAATTTTTTGAGGAGTCAAAGAACGAGAATTTTCTTTTAAATATACTTCAATATTTACTTTAATTTTCTCTGCTTGCCCATGATTTCAACATGTCATATCTTGTCATTAAATCTGGTATATATTTTAAAGACGGTCTCTTTATTTATTTATGTATTTATTTTTTAACTTTATGATTTTGCCTTGACTTTTTTTGCTTTTTTTATTTTAAGTTCTGGGATATATGTGCTGAATGCTCAGGTTTGTTACATAGGTATACATGTGCCGTGGTAGTAGTTTGCTGCATCTATCAACCTGTCATCTGTTTTTTTTTGTTGTTGTTGTTGTTTTGTTTTTTTTTTTTTTTTTTGAGATGGAGTCTAGCTCTGTCGCCCAGGCTGGAGTGCAGTGGCGCGATTTTGGTTCACTGCCAGCTCCTCCTCCTGGGTTCACGCCATTCTCCTGCCTGAGCCTCCTGAGTAGCTGGGACTATGGATGCCTGCCACCATGCCTGGCTAATTTTTTGTATTTTTAGTATAGACAGGGTTTCACCGTGTTAGCCAGGATGGTCTTGGTCTTCAGACCTCATGATCCGCCCGCCTCAGCCTCTCAAAGTGC
This sequence comes from Homo sapiens, assembly GCF_000001405.40. NCBI lineage: Eukaryota > Metazoa > Chordata > Mammalia > Primates > Hominidae > Homo > Homo sapiens. The sequence continues at coordinate 102,905,809 of NC_000009.12, read as the reverse complement.
TGGGCTTGTCATCTAGATTTTAAGCCCTGCATGCATTAGATATGTGTATTAATGCTGTACTTCCCCTTGTCCCTGACCTTGTGACATACCCCAGTGTGTAATGTTCACATCCCTATGTCCATGTGTTCTCATTGTTCAACTCCCACTTATGATAGAGAACATGTGGTGTTTGGTTTTCTGTCCTTGTGATAGTTTGCTGAGGATGATGGTTTCCAGCTTCATCCATGTCCCTGCAAAGGACGTGAACTCATTCTTTTTATGGCTGCATAGTATTCCATGGTATATATGTGCCACATTATCTTCATCCAGTCTATCATTGGTGTGCATTTGGTTTAGTTCCATGTCTTTGCTATTGTAAATAGTGTTGTAGTAAACATATATATGTATGTGGCTTTATAGTAGAATGATTTATAATCCTTTGGATATATACCTAGTAAAGGGATTGCTGAGTCAAATGGTATTTCTAGTTCTAGATCCTTGATGAATCACCACACTGTCTTCCGCAATGGTTGAACTAATTTACGCTCTGACCAACAGTGTAAAAGTGTTCCTATTTCTCTGCATCCTCACCGGCATCTGTTGTTTCCAGACTTTTTAATGATCACCATAATAACTGGCAAGTGTTAGTATCTCATTGTGGTTTTGATTGCATTTCTCTAATGGTCAGTGATGGTAAGCCTTTTTTTCATATGTTTATTGGCCACATAAATGTCTGCCTTTGAGAAATATCTGTCATATCCTTCACCCACGTTTTGGTGAGGTTGTTTATTTCTTGTACATTTGTTTAACTTCCTTGTAGATTCTTGATATTAGCCCTTTGTCAGATGGATAGATTGCAAAAATTTTCCCCCGTTCTGTAGATAGCATGTTCACTCTGCTGACAATTTCTTTTGCTGAGCAGAAGCTCTTTAATTTAATTAGATCTCATTTGTCAATTTTGGTTTTTGTTGCCATCGCTTTTGGTATTTTAGTCATGAAGTTTTTGCCCATGCCTGTGTCCTGAATGGTATTGTCTAGGTTTTCTTCTAGGGTTTTATGGTTTTAGGTCTTACATTTAAGTCTTTAATCCATGTTGAGTTAATTTTTGTATAAGGTGTAAGGAAGGGGTCCAGTTTCCGTTTTCTGCATGTGGCTAGCCTGTTTTCCCAACACCATTTGTGAAATAGGGAATCCTTTCCCCATTGCTTGTTTTTGTCAGGTTTGTTGAAGATCAGATGGTTGTATATGTGTGGTGTTATTTCTGAGGCCTCTATTCTGTTCCATTGGTCTGTAAATCTGTTTTGGTACCAGTGCCATGATGTTTTGCTTACTGTAGCCCTGTAGTATAGTTTGAAGTCAGGTAGCGTGATGCCTCCAGCTTTGTTCTTTTTGCTTAGAATTGTCTTGGCTATATGGGCTCTTTTTTGGTTCCATATGGAATTTAAAGTAGTTTTTTTGAATTCTGTGAAGAAAGTCAATGGTATCTTGATGGGGATAGCATTGAATCTATAAATTACTTTGGGTAGTATGGCCATTTTCATGATATTGATTCTTCCTCTCCATGAGCATGGAATGTTTTTCCATTTGTTTGTGTCCTCTCTTATTTCCTTGTGTGGTGATTTGTAGTTCTCCTTGAAGAGGTCCTTCATGTCCCTTGTAAGTTGTATTCCTAGGTATTTTATTCTCTTTGTAGCAATTGTGAATGGGAGTTCACTCACAATTTGGCCCTTTGCTTGTCTATTATTTGTTTATAGGAATGCTTGTGATTTTTACGCATTGATTTTCTATCCCGAGACTTTGTTGAAGTTGCTTATCAGCTTAAGGAGATTTTGGGCTGAGACAATGGGGTTTTCTAAATATACAATCATGTCATCTGCATATAGAGACAATTTGACTCCCTCTCTTCCTAACTGAATACACTTTATTTCTTCCTTTTGCCTGATTGTTCTGTCCAGAACTTCCAATATTATCTCGAATGGGAGTGGTAAGAGAGGGCATCCCTGTCTTGTGCTGGTTTTCAAAGGGAATGCTTACAGCTTTTGACCATGCAGTATGATATTGGCTGTAAGTTTGTCATAAATAGCTCTTATTATTTTGAAATATGTTCCATCAATACCTAGTTTGTTGAGAGTTTTCAGCATGAAGCGGTGTTGAATTTTATTGAAGGCCTTTTCTACATCTATTGAGATAATCATGTGGTTTTTGTCATTGCTTCTGTTTATGTGATGGATTACATTTACTGATTTGCATATGTTGAACCAGCCTTGCATACCAGAGATGAAGCTGACCTGATCATGGCGGATAAGCTTTTTGATGTGCTACTGGATTCAGTTTGCCAGTATTTTATTGCGGATTTTCATATTGATGTTCATCAGGGATATTGGTCTCAAATTTTCTTTTTTTGTGTGTGCCTCTGCCAGGTTTTGGAATCAGGATGATGCTGGCTTCATAAAATGAGTTATGGAGGAGTGCCTCTTTTTCTGTTGTTTGGAATAGTTTCAGAAGGAATGGTACCAGCGCCTCTCTGTACCTCTGGTAGAATTCGGCTGTCAATCCATCTGGTCCTGGGCTTTCATTGGTTTGTAGGCTATGAACTACTGCCTCAATTTCAGAATTTGTTATTGGTCTGGTCAGGGATTCGACGACTTCTTGGTTTAGTCTTTGGAGAGTGTTTGTGTCCAGAAATTTATCCATTTCTTCTAGATTCTCTAGTTTATTTGCATAGAGGTGTTTACAGTATTCTCTGATGGTAATTTGTCCTTCTGTGTGATCAGTGGTGATATCTCCTTTATCATTTTTTATTGTGTCTGTTTGATTCTTCTCTCTTTTCTTCTTTATTAGTCTGGCTAGTGGTCTATTTTGTTAATCTTTTTAAAAAACAGCTCCTGGATTCATTGGCTTTTTTCATGTCTCTATCTCTTTTAGTTCAGCTCTGATCTTAGTTATTTCTTGTCTTTTGCTAGCTTTTGAATTTGTTTGCTCTTGCTTCTCGAGTTCTTTTAATTGTGATGTTAGGGTGTTGATTTTAGATCTTTCTGTCTTTCTGATGTGAGCATTTAATGCTATAAATTTCCCTCAAAACACTGCTTTAGCTGTGTCCCAGAAATTCTGGTACGTTGTGTCTTTGTTCTGACTGCTTTCAAAGAACTTGGTTATTTCTCCCTCAATTGTGTTATTTATCAAGTAGTCATTCAGGAGCAGGTTGTTCAGTTTCCATGAAGTTGTGCAGATTTGAGTGAGTTTCTTATTCCTGAGTTCTAATTTGATTGCACTATAGTCTGAGAGACTGTTTGTTACGATTTCCATTCTTTTCCATTTGCTGAGGTGTGTTTTCCTTCCAATTATGTGCTATGTGGTGCTGAGAAGAATGTATATTCTGCTGATTTAAGGTGGAGAGTTCTGTAGATATCTATTAGTTCTGCTTCGCTGAGAGCTGAGTTAAAGTCCTGTATATCCCTGTTAAATTTCTGTCGTGTTAATCTGTCTAATATGAACAGTGGGGTGTTAAAATCTCCCACTATTATAGTGTGGGAGGTTAAGTCTCTTTGTAGGTCTCTAAGAACTTGTTTTATGAATCTGAGTGCTCCTGTTTTGGGTTCATATACATTTGGGATAGTTAGCTTTTCTTGTTGCATTGATCCCTTTACCATTATGTAATGCCCTTCTTTGTCTTTTTTGATCTTTATTGGTTTAAAGTCTTTTATCAGAGACTAGGTTTGCAACCCCTGCTTTCCATTGGCTTGGTAAATATTCCTCCATCCCTTTATTTTCAGCCTGTGTGTTCCTTTACACATGAGATGGGTCTCCTGAATACAGCACTTCAATGGGTCTTGACTCTTTCTCCACTTTGCCAATCTATGTCATTCATTTTAATTATTTATTTATTATTATACTTTAGGTTTTGGAATACACATGCAGAACATGCAGGTTTATTACATAGGTATATATGTGCCATGGTGGTTTGCTGCACCCATCAACCTGTCACCTACATTAGGTATTTCTCCTAATGCTATCCCTCCTCTAGCCCCCCATTCCCCAACAGGGCCCAGTATGTGATATTCCCCTTCCTGTGTTCATGTGTTCTCATTGTTCAACTCTCACTTATGACTGAGAACGTGTGGTGTGTGGTTTTCTGTTCCTGTGTTAGTTTGCTGAGGATGATGGTTTCCAGCTTCATCCATGTCCCTGCAAAAGACATGAACTAATCCTTTTTTATGCCTGCATAGTATTCCATGGTGTATATGTGCCACATTTTCTTTATCCAGTCTATCATTGATGGGCATTTGGGTTGGTTCCAAGTCTTTGTTATTGTGAAAAGTGCTGCAATAAACATACATGTGCATGTGTCTTTATAGTAGAATGATTTATAAACCTTTGGGTATATATCCAGTAATGGGATTGCTGGGTCAAATGGTATTTCTGGTTCTGCATCCTTGAGGAATTGCGACACTTTCTTCCACGATGGCTGAACTAATTTACACTCTGTCCAACAGTGTAAAAGCATTCCTATTTCTCCATATCCTCTCTAGCATCTGTTGTCTCTTGACTTTTTAATAATCGCCATTCTAACAGGCATGAGATGGTAACTCATTATGGTTTTGAATTGCATTTCTCTAATGACCAGTGATGATGAATATTTTTTGCATAGGCTTCATCCCTGGGATGCAAGGTTGGTTCAACATACTCAAATCAATAAACATAATCCATCACATAAACAGAACCAATGACAAAAACCACATAATTATCTCAATAGATGCAGAAAAGGCCTTCGATTAAATTCAATACCCCTTCATGCTAAAAATTCTCAATAAACTAGGTATTGATGGAACGTATCTCAAAATAATAAGAGCTATTTATGACGAACCACAGCCAATATCATACTGCATGGGCAAAAGCTAGAAGCATTCCCTTTGAAAACTAGCACAAGACAAGAATGCCCTCTCTTACCACTCCCATTCAATATAGTATTGGATGTTCTGGCCAGGGCATTCATGCAAGAGAAATAAATAAAGGATATCAAATAGGAATAGGAAGAGAGGAAGTTAAATTGAATCAATTTGCAGACAACATGACTGTATATGTAGAAAAACCTGTCTTCTCACCTCAAAATCTCCTTAAGCTGATAAGCAACTTCAGCAAAGTCTCAGGGTATAAAATCAGTGTGCAAAAATCACAACTGTTTTTATACATCAGTAATTGACAAGCAAATAGCCAAATCATGAGTGAACTCCCATTCACAACTGCTACAAAGAGAATAAAATACCTAGGAATACAACTTACAAGGGACGTGAAGGACCTCTTCAAGGAGAACTACAAATCACCACTCAAGGAAATAAGAGAGGACACAAACAAATGGAAAAACATTCCATGCTCATGGAGAGGAAGAATCAATATCATGAAAATAGCTATACTGCCCAGAGTAATTTACAGATTCAATGCTATCCCCATCAAGCTACCATTGACTTTCTTCACAGAATTCAAAAAAACTACTTTAAATTCCATAGGGAACCAAAAAAGAGCCCATATAGCCAAGAGAATTTTAAGCAAAAATAACAAACCTGGAGGCATCCTGCTATCTGACTTCAAACTACACTACAGGGCTACAGTAACCAAAACAGCATGATACTGGTACCAAAACAGATTTATAGACCAATGGAACAGAACAGAGGCCTTAGAAATAACACCACACATGTACAACCATCTGATCTTCAACAAACCTGACAAAAGCAAGCAATGGGGAAAGGATTCCCTATTTCATAAATGATGTTGGGAAAACAGGCTAACCATATGCAGAAAACAGAAACTGGACACCTTCCTTACACCTTATACAAAAATTAACTCAACTTGGATTAAAGACTTAAACAAAAGACCTAAAACCATAAAAACCCTATAAGAAAACCTAGGCAGTACCATTCAGGACATAGGCATGGGCAAAAACTTCATGACTGAAATACCATAAGCAATGGCAACAAAATCCAAAATTGACAAGTGGGATCTAACTAAACTAAAGAGCTTCTGCACAGCAAAAGAAACTATCATCAGAGTGCACAGGCCACCTACCAAATGGGGGAAAATTTTTGCAATCTATCCATCTGACAAAGAGTTAATATCCAGAGTCTACAAGGAACTTGAAGAAATTCACAAGAAGAAAACAAACATTATCAAAAAGTGGCCAAAGGATATGAACAGATAATTCTGTGTCTGTGTCTTTTAACTGTGACATTTAGTCTATTTACCTTTAAGGTTAATATTGTTATGTGTGAATTTGATCCTGTCGTCATGATACTAGCTGGTTATTTTACACATTAATTGATGCAGTTTCTTCATAGCGTCGTTGGTCTTTATATTTTGGTGTGTTTTTGCAGTGACTGATACCTGTTTTTCCTTTTCATATTTAGTGATTTCTTCAGGAGCTCTTGTAAGGCAGGCCTGGTGGTGACAAAATCCCTCAGTATTTGCTTGTCTGTAAGGGAATTATTTCTCCTTCCCTTATGAATCTTAGTTTGGTTTCACATGAAATTCTGGGTTGAAAATTTGTTTCTTTAAGAATGTTGAATATTGGCCCCCACTCTCTTCTGGCATATACGGTTTCTGGAGAGAGATCCACTGTTAGTCTGATGGGCTTCCCTTTGCAGGTAACCTGACCTCTCTTTCTGGTGGTCCTTAATATTTTTTCCTTCATTTCAACCTTGGAGAATCTGAGGATTATGTGCCTTGGGATTTCACTTCTCAAGGAGTATCTTTGTGGTGTTCTCTGTATTTCCTGAATGTGAATGTTGGCCTGTCTTGCTACGTTGGGGAAGTTCTCCTGGATAATTTCCTGAAGTCTGTTTTCCAACTTGGTTCCATTCTCCCCATCACTTTCAGGGACCCCAGTCAATTCTAGGTTTGGTCTTTTCACATAGTCTCATTATTTCTTGGAGGCTTTGTTCATTCCTTTTCAATCTTTTTTATCTAATCTTGTCTTCACACCTTATTTCAGTAAGTACATCTTCAATCACTGATATCTTTTTTTCTGCTTGATTGATTTGGCTGTTGATACTTGTGTATGCTTCACAAAGTTCTTGTACCGTGTTTCTCAGCTCCATCAGGTCATTTATGTTCTCTAAACTGCTTATTTTAGTTAGCAAGTCCTGTAACCTTTTGTCAAGGTTCTTAGCTTCCTTGTATTGGGTTAGAACATGCTCCTTTATCTCAGAGGACTTTGTTAGTACACACCCTCTGAAGCCTCCTTCTCTCAATTCATCAAACTCATTTTCTGTCAAATTTTGTGTCCTTGTTGGAGAGGCGTTGCAATCATTTGGAGAAGGGGCATTCTGGTTTTTGGAATTTTCAGTATTTTTGTGCTGGTTTTTCCAAATCTTCGTGGATTTATCTACCTTTAATCTTGAGGCTGAAGACCTTTGGATGGGTTTTCCATGTGGGAGTTTCTTTTGTTGATGTTGATGTTTATATTATTGCTTTCTGTTTGTTAGTTTTTCTTCTAATAGGCCCCTCTTCTGCAGGTCTGCTGCAGTTTGCTGGGGGTCCACTCCTGACCCCATTTGCCTGGGTATCACCAGCAGAGGCTGCAGAACAGCAAAGATTGCTGCCTTCTTCCTCTGGAAGCTTCGTTCCAGAGGGGCACTTGCCTGATGCTAGCCGGAGCTCTCCTGTATGAGATGTCTGTCAACCCCTGTTAGGAGGTCTCCCCTAGTCAGGAGACACAGGGTAAGGGACCCACGTGAGGAGGCAGTCTGTCCCTTAGCAGAGCTCCAGCGCTGTGCTGGTAGAACCCTCCTTGTGAGAATCTTCTGCTTTCTTCAGAGCCAAGTGGCAGGAATGTTTAAGTCTGCTGAAATTGTGCCCACAGTCACCCCTTTCCCCAGGTGCTCTCTCCCAGGGAGATGGGAGTTTTAACTTTAAGTCCCTGACTGGGGCTGCTGTCTTTCTTTCAGAGATGCCTGCCCAGTGAAGAGGAATCTAGAAAGGTGGTCTGGCCACAGCTGCTTTGTCACTCTGTGTTGAGTTCCACTCAGTCCAAACTTCCAGGCTTCCTTAGTGCTGTCGGGGGAAAACTGCCTACTTAAGCCTCAGTAATGGCAGATGCACCTTCCCCACCAAGCTCCATCATCCCAGGTAAACTTCAGACTGCTGTGCTGTCAGTGAGAATTTCCAGCCAGTGGTTCTTAGCTTGCTGGTCTCTGTGGGATTGTGACCCCCTGAGCAAGATCACTTGGCTCCCTGGCTTCAGCCCCCTTTCCAGGGGAGTGAACGGTTCTGTCTTGCTGGGGTTCCAGATATGACTGGGGTATGAAAAAAAAATAAAAACTCCTGCAGCTAGCTCCATGTCTGCTTGAACAGCCGCCCAGTTTTGTGCTTGAAACCCAGAGCCCTGGCGGTGTAGGCACACAAGGGAATCTCCTGGTCTGCGGAATGCAAAAACTGTGGGAAAAGCATATATTCTGGGCCTGATACCACAGTCCCTCATGGCTTCCCTAGGCTGGGAAAGGGGGACCCCTGCTCCTTGTACTTCCTGTCCTGCTCCTTGTACTTCCTGGGTGAGGCAATGCCCCTCCCTGCTTCTGCTCACCCTCTGTGGGCTGCACAGACTGCCTAGCCAGTCCCAGTGAGATGAACAGGGTACCTCAGTTGGAAATGCATAAATCACCTGCTTTCTGCATTAATTTCCCTGAGAACGGCAGACTGGAGCTCTTCCTATTTGGCCATCTTGCCAGCAGACTGATGGTCTCTATCTTTAAAATTCCTAAGAAATACATTATTATTATGGATAAACTCACCTCTTCATTGTTTTGAATTAATCAATTTTAACCTACATATAAAATACTGACATTTTTCTTTGATATCTCTATTTGCATCTTCTCAATTAGCACATCCTGGTAAATGTCATCTTTGTCTAAGTATTTTTGCCGCTAATTCTTATATATCTGATTTTTAATCATGGTACATATTCTCTGGATTAGAAAGGTGCTCTGTCTGGTTGTGTTGTAGTCCCAGAGTTTCTCTACCATTAACCTATGAATCATTCATAAAGTTGCATTTAGTTTCCTAGGTAAGCAACCCAGTATCAGGTTTTATTGCAACTGTAACTATGAGAAAGTCAGTTATTATCCCACTATCTTTTTCTTCTACTGATAGGTCTCTTCGTGAAGTTTTATGTAATTCTAAACAAATATATTTTTTTACTTTTGTTTTCTGTCCAGTATAAAATGGTCTTTTGTTTTATCTGTGTCATAATTTCTTTTAAAAAGCTTATTTCTTTCAGTGTTGATGCCATCTGAAGTAAACAAAATATGTGCTGCAAAATGTAAAATAGATCATCATGCACAATACCAAGAAGTAGGCCTTTGTTTTCTCTGTCCTACTTCTCTGACTTTAATAAGGATTAAAATGTTTAAAATAAAAAACTTAAAAATACCTATGCATTTTATGTTATAGTCATCATATCTTCACAGGGAATAGTGATGAGCAACTGAACTGTGTTCAGTATTCATCGACGTTGTTTAACAATCATTTTAATCTGATAAATTATATTGTTCCCACCTGTTGTCAGCTCTAAACTTTGCAGAAAGAAGAATGTATAGCCCCTGGGTTTTAAGGAACAGACCTTCGAAGGAGACTCTACCATAGCATCCATCTGTGAGAAAGGCTTTGTTAACCACACATTAAAAAAGGTGGTTGTCCAAACTTCTAGTAAGAGTTAGAACTAGTAATAATATCAAATTTAACTCTAAAGCCAACATTACTAAATACTATGCAGTATTATTTTTCATGTGACTGTCTCTCTGTAAACAAGTTGCCTCTCTGGATTGAATGTTCTATATTCTCATCAAACCCAAGTTAAGGTAACAAAATTTGAAAGGCAGGGCAGGCACAGGCACGATCTGGTCTTATCTTAAAGTCACCTAGCACAGTGCACTAAGGTCCTTGCATTTTACTACACCTGTGATTAAAAAGTTGTCTTTATTGCCTTGATGTGATTTCAGCGTGTTCAATTTTCTTTTACCATGCGGCACTAGAATTTCAGTCACATTGTACAATGTATTTATATATACAAATACATGCTAACTAACTACTTCTTCCTGAGTCTCTTAAAAGACACTGATTAAAAGTCAGCCACAATACTTAAATTTTACTGGTCACTAGATGCTGATGAATCTGCTACCCACAGCTACTTTTATAACCACCAGATTTTCTTTCCTTTGCTTCTTTAGATGAGGTATATTGAGATGAAACATCACACAATTTTACACATTTTTAATGCCATTTTTAAGTTATGACTTCCTTTGCAATAGGAACCAAGCACTGGCAATACTGAGAATGCCTCCAACCAACTTTACTACACAGTGTGTTTATACCAATTTCTGTTACCATTTCTCCCGAAATGCTTTTCACATACTCAAAATCCGTGATGTCTCTAATGAGAAAAAAACATTGAAACTGGAAGAATATAGCCTATTGTAATAATCTGCATTAGAGCAGTGTTGCCATCTAGGAGGATAAATTATTCACCATGGGCCTTGGATATTTTTATACTTCTTTTTTGCTGTATCTGCCTTCAGTCCTTATTCTTAATATGTCAGTTAACCCCAGAATCATGTCTAAAGACTCTATTTCCTATGCTATTTTTGAAAATCTTTTCACTCTTCCTAGTTACCTGGGACCTTATGTTGTATGAAATAAAGCATTAGCTTGGTAAGCCAGGAATAGAAGACTCTACATCCTCCCAGATGAATGTAGCACTTCTATTCCGAGGCATTATAGCACAATGTTTTTATCATTTGGGATTAGGTGTCAGAATGTCTTGCTCTACAGTCTGGCTCTGTTAGAGCTAGTAGTAAAACCTTGGATAAGTTGGGCAACCACTTTATCTCAGTCTTTTCTCTATTTTGAGACAGAATCTTGCTCCGTTGTCCAGGCTGGAGTGCAGTGGCACGATCTCAGCTCACTGCAACCTCTGCCTCCTGGGTTCAAGCGCTTCTCCTACCTCAGCCTCCCGATTAGCTGGAATTACAGGCACGCACCACCATGCCTGGCTAATTTTTTTGTATTTTTAGTAGAGTCAGGGTTTCACTATGTTGGTCAGGCTGGTCTTGAACTCTTGACTCTTTATCATAGAAATGATGTGATATCAATACATACCTTATAGGAATAATATCAGAATTAGATTAATTCACATAAAACATTCAGAACAGTATTAAATCTATGGTAAGCTCTCAATAGATATCAGCTATTATTATCCTCTAATTACACATTATATGTTACAGAAATATTTTAATAAAAATTGTATTTTCAAGAGTGTACTACACAAATATTTTAAACATTTTATGTAAAAATTCCTAAATTATAAAACCATTATTTATATCTCTAATTTTCATTCAGTGCATGTATTAGTCAGAATTCATCAGAAACGTGTGTGTGTGTGTGTGTGTGGGTGGGTGTGTGTGTGTGTGTATGCATCCTGAGAAAGAACTAGAAGGAGAGAGAGAGGGAATTTTAAGGAATTGGCTTATGCAAATATCTGCATGGTAGGCCAGCAGGGTAAAAAGAGTCACAGTTTAAGTCAGAAAGTAGCCAGCTAGCAGAATTCCTTTTTTTTTTTTTTTTTTTGTAAGAGGTCAGTCTTTTTCTACTAAGGCCTTCAACTGGTAAGTCTTAATACATATTATGTCCCCTCTTCCCCTTAATATAAAGAGTAACTTGCTTCACTCAAAAGCTACTGATAGAAATGTTAATCTTATCTAAGAAATGCCTTCACTGAAACATCTAGAATGATGTTTGAATAAATATCTGGGGACTGTGGGCAAGCATATTTGACATCTACAGTTAACCATCACAATACCTTTTATTTAATTCTTATTAGATGAATTGTGCTTGCAAAATTAAAGAAGCTAGTAACTATATGGAAAGAAAGTTGAATCATAAAACTTGAGTTTTTCTCCAAGATTCTAATCGAAAGATATTTTAGTCACCTTTACTCTTTATTTAATTAAATGTTGACAGGGGCAGTAACAAGGTGAAATCATAATAATGAATTTAAGAACTTTATACTCAGACTATATTAATTACAATTATCCATCCTTTAGAGTATTACAATCAAATAAATATTATCTCCATATTTCATAAGATTTTGTCTGCCAAATAATCACTAGAGGTGGTTTCCAAAAGCAAAATGAAGATGGTGGGTAGTGGATTTCTTTTTGGACTGATGTAAGCTTCTTATTCTTCTCTCAATTTTGCAAAGTATGAATACATTTACTCTGGAATATCTTTTTTAATTATCTGCAACAGGTCCTTGTCAGCTTTCAGAAGAACTGTGAAAAAGGAAACTAATCAACAAAGCAAACTCATCTCTTGTTTTATTTATTTATTATTATTTTGTCTCAGGAATTGCTCTAGGCTCTGTTCTTCACTTGTCTATCTATGTGCTTTGAGAATATTTATATACACACATGCACACACAATATTTTTATCTCTTTTTTTCAGTGTTTGGCTACTTTAGTTCCCTTGTTTCAGCTACTCTAATTCTACCTGACTGGAACTTGGCATTGCTTGAGATTTCTCCTTAAACACCATTCCTTCAGCCTCAAGCATCCTAGGAGCTAGGTCCTTATGAATCTCTCATCTACCCCAATTCACCTGGGTGGGGGCATGGGTAGATAGAAACCTATTTTATGTGCTGATTTCTGGTAGATAAATAATATACATGCAGAGTTTTACGAGCAATGTGTCCTTCCCTCAAATAAATATGTTTGCTAATCAGTGTAAGCAAAACAACCTGCATAACTGTGTCAGAGTAAGTACTGGTACACAGGAATTTTTAGGGAGCCAAAAGTAACTATGATACGCCTATATTCAGTAAAAATACTAATAATAATAAAATAAAAGATTGATTTTCTACTTAGCCTGATAAACTTGCATCTGCCTATTGCATAATTCACTAAACAAAATGGACAAAGTACAAGAGGAGTTTTTATGATAGTGGGATGAAAATAGTTCGCTATATTTCCTTTGACTTAAATGCCTCATTTCCTAGTCAGAGTAAATTCTTGTTCTTCTAGTAATGCCCAGAAATAGCTATTCAGTTAGGCACTCCCGGGCCATTCAATTATTAGAAAGATATTCATATTTAACACCTATTTTTCATATATATGTATGTATTGAATTCAATAGCAACAACAGAAACGGTTATATATCACTGCATACATAAATATTATAGTATAGTAGGTACTGTATACCTGCTAAATAACTGCTATGAAGTCATACCTACTTTGTAATATATACTGAATACCTGTTATAGCAAATACTTAGTTGGTCCCTTACCTTAAGGAGCTCATTGTAATATGAGAGCCAGAAATTATAGGAAATAAATATTTTCTAGGAATTCCGTTTACTGAGCTCCTTATCGTTATCATTTAAATCGGTCAGATTTATTTATGAATTTCATTTTCCCATTGAACCCTTGAGGAGAAACTTACCATCTCTCCCCTGCCCCTCCCATTTAGAGAAAAAATAAGTATCTTTAAAGAATTATCTTGCTTGTAGGCATCCTGTCTTTTTCCATCTTGTCTTCAATTTATGGCTGTCAATATGTGTCACATTCTTCTGCAATTGCTCTTGCTTGAGGCATCACAATTTTCTTGTTACCTTGTTTCCAGTGTAATGTATGCTTGTCTTTATATATTTTTAGCTCTCTCAGACCTTCATAATGTTAATCAATCTTTCTCAGAATTAAGTGGTGAAAAAATTGCCTACAAGTTAGACATGCCTTAGACAAAGGCATTCAAACAATGCCACTTCAAAATTTGCCACTTTGTTCCATTATTTTAAATTAAAGGCCTTTGAAATACAGCAGATACAAGAAGGGCACTCTGACTTTTCTTTTTTTCCTGAAAGCAGGAGATAAAACTCCCAGGTGAAAGGTGCCCTCCCGGTACCTGGTGGAAGGAAGACATCCTTATGACCAGACAGGCAGTTGAGGCTGAGAGGAATCTGTACAAAGAAATCTTGTTAAACTAATTCTTATCTTCGTAGTAATATTTTCCCACAATTATCTGCCACAGCCCCAAACCCTTTGTTGTGTCACGTTTTCAGAATTTACTACTCCTCTTTTAACCTAGTACATAAGTTTAGGGCTCCAATTGCTTCTTTGGGTCTTGACTTTTTTTTATTGTGAGGGCGCCCAGGTGCCTACAAAAATTATTAAACAAAATGTGTGTATTTTTATCTTCTTAGTCTGTCTATGGCCATTTAATTCTTAGGCCCAGCTGGATTCCCTAAGAAGGTAGGGGAAGAATTCTACCTCCCTTACACCAAAATAATTTATCATGGAAGGTGTAGTCTATTGGATAATAGTTCTCAAATTTATTGTCCACCCAGAAACTCAGAATGTGATCTGAGGCTAAAGATGAGATCATACTGGATTAGGATGGGTAAAAAAGCTAATGAAAGTGTCCTTATGAGGGACAGAACAAAACCCAAAGTGACACACGGGAAAAGTTGATGTGAAGCTAGAAGCAGAGATTGGAGAGATGTGTCCAAGGAAAGCCAACAATTGCCAGGAATTGCTGATGAATTGCAGTAGTAATAGATAAAACAAATTGCTAATTAATTAATCAACTAAATGAGTTCAAGCGATGAAACAGTGGCAAAGCTACATTTTTAAATATATTTTGTTATATGTTGCTTTGTGACAATTACATTTGTTGACATTTCAATATTATTAGTTTTCTTACATACCATTAAAACCTACTATCTTTACTGAAGAATGAATGTACTGTCTTGTGGGTATGGACGCATATTTTTAGATGAAATCTAGTTATAATCTCTCTTTTATCACAGAAGATAATGGTATTTGAACAGTTATAAATAGAATAGAATAAAGTGTTAGAATAAAGTAATCTGGGCTGGAAGGAAAACATGTTTTGCCCCTATTTATTGTGTCAGCCAAGTACAAGAAAAAATGTATAAACAAATTGCTGAAACGCAAAGGTTTAGCAGTGTTTCACATCCTTGTAAACTCAAGTAACACGATGAAAAATAAAAAATGCTTCTTAACTTCTGAGTATGTTAGAAACATATAGGGGAACCTGCCCCGATAGTCACGTAGGTTCTTTTCTATTTTCCCTAAGCCTCGGCCGGTTTGAGAAATAAAGGGACAGAGTACAAAAGAGAGAAATTTTAAAGCTGGGCGTCCGGGGTAGACATCACATGTCAGTAGGTTCCGTGATGCCCCACAAGCTGCAAAAACCAGCAAGTTTTTATTAGGGATTTTCAAAAGGGGAGGGAGTGTGCGAATAGGTGTGGGTCACAGACATCAAGTACTTTACAAGGTAATAGAATATCACAAGGCAAGTGGAGGCAGGGTGAGATCACAGGACCACAGGACCCAGGCAAAACTAAAATTGCTAATGAAGTTTCCAGCACCATTGTAATTGACAACATCTTATCAGGAGACAGGGTTTTGAGAGCAACTGGTCTAACCAAAAATTTATTAGGCAGGAATTTCCTCTTCCTAATAAGCCTGGGAGCGCTTTGGGAGACTGGGGTCTATTTCACTCCTACACTCAACCATAAGAGATGGGCACACCTGGGGGGGGGGGGGGGCATTTATAGGCCTATACCCCCAGGCGCATATTCTCTTTCCCAGGGATGTTCCTTGCTGAGAAAAAGAATTCAGCGATATTTCTCTCATTTGCTTTTGAAAGAAGAGAAATATGGCTCTGTTCCGCCCAGCTCACCGGCAGTCAGAGTTTAAGGTTATCTCTCTTATTCCCTGAACAATTGCTGTTATCCTGTTCTTTTTTCAAGGTGTCCAGATTTCATATTGCTTAAACACACATGCTGTACAATTTGTGCAGTTAATGCAATTATCACGTGGTCCTTAGGTGACATACATCTTCCTCAGCTGACACGATTAAGAGATTAAAGACAGGCATAGGAAATCACAAGGGTATTGACTGGGGAAAGTGATAAGTGTCCATGAAATCTTTACAATTTATGTTTAGAGATTGCAGTAAAGACAGGCATAAGAAATTATAAAAGTATTAATTTGGGGAACCAATAAATGTCCATGAAATCTTCACAATCCACGTTCTTCTGCCATGGCTTCAGCCGATCCCTCTGTTTGGGGTCCCTGACTTCCCGCAACAGAAACAGACATGAAATTTATCATCTTTCCTTTCTATCTTTCACATATAGCTCAACAATTCTAAGAAAATAGAATTTTTTGAAACTTATGTAAAGACTAAATGTAAAATTTCTTTGTTTCCATACTTTCAGGCTAAAGTGAAAATTTATTTAAAGTAATGTATTTGGATATTTCCATGTTTGGACCTCAAGTTTAGATTTGTTTTTATCCATTGTGCTCTAAGCATAAGTAAATCAGTTAAATCAATACATTTCCTGATTGTATTGTGTCTGGAATTGGTTCCCTCTGGTGGGTTCTTGGTCTCACTGACTTCAAGAATGAAGCCGCGGACCCTCGTGGTGAGTGTTATAGTTCTTAAAGATGGTGTGTCTGGAGTTTGTTCCTTCAGGTGTTCAGATGTGTCCAGAGTTTCTTCCCTCTGGTGGGTTCGTGGTCTTGCTGACTTCAGGAGTGAAGCCACAGACCTTTGCAGTAGTGTTACAGCTCTTAAAAGGTGGCGCATCTGGAGTTGTTCATTCCTCCCGGTGGGTTCGTGGTCTCGCTGACTTAAGGAGTGAAGCTGCAGACTTTCCCAGTGAGTGTCATAGCTCACAAAGGTAGTGCGGACCCAAAGAGTGAGCAGCAGCAAGATTTACTACTAAGAGCAGAAGAACAAACCTCCCACAGCACAGAAGCAGTTGCTGCTGCCGCCTCTGGTGGCCACCTTTTATTCCCTTATTTGGCCTTGCCCACCTCCTGCTGATTGGTCCATTTTACAGAATGCTGATTGGCCCATTTTACAGAGTGCTGATTGGTCCATTTTTACAGAGTGCTGACTCTTGCGTTTACAAACCTTTAGCTAGACACAGAGCGCTGACTGGTGTGTTTACAATCCTTTAGCTAGACAGAAAAGTTCTCCAAGTCCCCACCAGACCCAGAAGCCCAGCTGGCTTCTCCTCTCAGTACCCTCTATTTCTTTTGTCATATTTTCTTCCTATTTGCAAAATTTAAAATATATATGTATTTATGTATCTGTATAAAAGTGACAAAGTAAACATTGAGTATAAGCAGGCTGCAGTAATTCCTTAGTAATGGAATTTTCAAAGATGGGAATGAGAATTTTGCATTAGTGCTAAAGGGAAGTTTAAAGCTGTAACACAAAATTTGGTGTATATCACTTGCTCTGAAGAGTGATGTTGGACGTTTATAAAGAGGTTCAAATTTTAGAAGACTTTTCTTATAGCTAGCATGTTTAATGGCAAGGAAGCCTAGAATCAGAGTGAGCAACTAAGATATTACATCAAAAATCTAAGAGAGAGGTACTGCGATGTGGACAAAGGGACTGGCAGTGGGAGCATATAGGATGGAATGGGTTCGAATGGCAGAGGGCAGGGAAAACCTGGCTGAATGTAAAAGTTGCCAATGATTGACAAATGGGAAAAGCGTCGTTACTGCTCTTTTCTTACTTAGTATTGGGCCTTTATGGAAGAGCATTTGTTCTGATATAAGTCACCTCATGAGAGTCATAGGAATAACATCAATGAGATTTGCTAAATGTTCAGGCAACGAGTAAGGGAAATGCAGTCATCTCTGAATTATTCAGGGGCTGATTATCCAGGTGATGGAGTTTTTCAGATGTCTCCCTCCCACTATCCCTGTTCCATCTATTGCTCGCAATTGGTCATTTCACTGTTCATTAGTCTTCTCACCAGCAGGATGGGAACTATTTTAAAACTCCAAAGTCTTCAAATGTTGCATCTGGTTTGCATCTTAATTGAGATTTTGTTTATTTTTGTCTCTATGGAGTCCAGCAAAACCTTTCCTAGCATCAAAGAGTATTTCAGAGCAGTAACAGCTCTTGAAAATCATGCAATTAAATAGTACCAGAAAATGTTAAATGAGTTTCCCAGGTCACATGGCTGGAAGAGGGAAAAGAACTGGATTGAACTCCAGATCTCAAAATTAATATACTATTCCTTCCACTGAGGTCACTGTCTATATGTTCTTCACTATAATAACATTGAAAATTATTTTTAAAAAGATGCATGGAGTATTCTATAGATCAACTTATTGCTTAGGCCCACGTCACTTTCTCACAAAAGCTGGTTCATATAATTATTTCATGATGCGACTGAGGCTGTCTCCCATCAGACATTATACCTCTGGGTTCTGTCCATTTTAAGTTTGTCCACAGAGTGGGAAGCCAGCTTCTGAGCTTCTCATTCTTCTTTGGTTCCATGAAAGCAAGCACATAGGTCCATATTTTAAAATTATTTTAAAATAGTTTACAGATCATCACAGCAGAAATATAAGAAATAAGGACAAAACAGCTACTTAGAGACAAATCCTTTACTGTGATGGTAACTGGAGATTTCCAAACAGCAGCCATACTGTTTTTATTCCTATTTTGGGGACTGTCATTTGCTCTTTTTCTTTCTAACACAACCATCTTAATTATTCCAGGATTCAGTACAGAAAAATCACAAATGTCCTTTGCAACTAGCATGATTGCCTCACTGGGTGGCATATATGTATTTGTGAAAATAAAGATTTAAATTGTTTAAAGTGCCAGAAACGGACAGGGAGATAACTGTAGCAGTTTCATATGATTTTTTTTTCTTTGAAGGGCATTGCTACAAGGTGTATATGGGGCCGTGTGTGTGTGTGTGTGTGTGTGTGTGTGTGTGTGTGTGTGTGTTTGTGTGTATTTTCATGGCCCAGTTTCTCTTTTGCAATTGACATAAAAATCAATCACTCTGGAAATATGGAGTAACCTACATAGCATTTTCATAAACTCACATTCAATAAGTTACCTACCCCACTGCAAAAAAACTTACAAAAATTTTTCACATAGGAACCTGTTGTCTTTTCATTAATAATAATTGACACATGGAACCAGGGTACAAATACACATAAAATTAATTCAATGTCAATTCAATGTTTATTGAAATGCTACTATGTTACATTAATCACTCTAATCACAATTACATGATATTTTATCATCCTTTGTTTTTCCTTTTATCTTTTCCTCTCCCCTTTGTACAAACTAGCCAGCCTTATTCCACAAACATTATGTTCAAAATGAGAAGACTGCCGTGTATTTTCTTTTTTTTTTTTTCATTTTCTTTCTTCTTCTTTTTTTTTTTTTTTCATATAATCTTGCCTTCTAAGGCTTCCCTGTAATTCCAAACTTTTGTTTCCAGACTCTCTGGCTTCCAGGAATGGTCTATTTCTGCGTATAAAACCATATCTATTTGTAAATTTAGTTTCTACGTGTTTAACATTTCTTTCTTAAGGATGGCTTTGTCTTTCTTTCATGCTTCTATGTGCATTCAAAATAGAGAAATAAACCGATATTCATCAAAGGCCATCCAAATGCCAAACTCCTAACATATGCCATATTATTTAATTCTAACTTTAAAAAGTACAAAACTTTCATTTTTTAGTGATAAGACAGCAGATGCTTAGAAAAGCCATACTTAATGATTGAACAAAAAAATTGTTGAAGCTGTTATTTAAATGAACTGCCCCCAAGTTAAAATCTTTCACATACTGAGGCCCTTTACTACTTTCCATTATTTTTAAGTATGTGCATATGAATAAATGTACACATAACATTGCATTTTTAGTTGAAAGGAGGAACCATGTGTAATTTAAATGTGTACTCAAAGTGACAGAGTATTTTGTTATAGGTGAGACAAAATAAATGTTTATTGAATTTAATTTAACTGAATAGTTTCTCAATCTTGTAAATAACATAAACAAATGGTACAAGAAGCTATGCTGTAAATCTCATTACTATAATAAGACAGTAACAATTTTGAATCCTTAAGAGTAAATGTGATTAACTTAAATATATTATAGGTACTTTCAGTCAGAGTAGGGCACATAACTGACTAAACAGCTAAGCCTAAAACTTCAGTGCATACATAGTTTATTGAGAAGTGTTTTGCACAGCCCAGGTATACTTCCTGGAAAAAAAATGCTATTGTAATGGCTGGTAGACATACTTTTCTTTAACTTTAGTTAATCAACCTTGAAAGTTTTGCAATCAGAGCCACGGCAAGAGGCATAGAAAACACTAGGTTGGCTTCTAATAAGGGTACATATAATTCCTTTAAATCAAGTGCTATATTAGCTGTCTAAGAATGAGTTGGATCTTTTAACATTTCCATATGTTGTTATTTCAGAATACTTATTTCATCTGAATCATTGATTTCTAGGGTCTGAAAGTTCAATGAGTTGCAATTGATTTTGCCTGGCAGCCTTCTAATATGTGAAGGTTAGTGCATTGCCTCCCATGAGAGGAATCTTGCATTGCTTGGAAAAGAGCTTATATATAGGCTGGCTTTTTAACCCATAATAGTAATTAATGAACCATGGGTTTCATCTTGTATTGACCAATCTTATCTTCTGCCCTGAGGCTGCAAACTGAAGCTATAATCCATTCCAACATTTTGGAGATGTGTACCATAGGCCTTAAGGGGATTAAATCAATAAACACTGTTGGATTAGTAAAATCTCACACACATTGCTCAAAAACTATCCCTAAGCATATGCATACTTGAAGGTTAATTGGTGATATAATCACTTTATAAGCAAGACAGCACCTTACTACAATGGTTTCATGTAGAGAAAATACATAATCAAATGACCAGTTTCTATGTTCTCATTCGAGGGCCTGCAAACTTCTTTGTGTGAAGGGCGACATAATAAATACTTTAAGCTCTGTGGGTCATAATGCCACAGTTGCAACTATGTGACTCTGCCAACCTATCATGAAAGCAGCTGAAGACAAGGTGTTAACAAATGGTGTGGCTGCATTCCAACAAAAGCTACTTATAGAATTTATTTACAGAAATAGAGGGCAGGATATGACTGGCAGGCCTTCATGTTATGACCCCTTTTCTGGACACTGCACATGAATTATCTCGTTTAATTTTCACAGCATCTGTGAGGTATATACATTATTATTCCTTATTTTTAAATGAGTATATTGAGGAATATAATGTTTAAGTATATTATTCAACTATACCACTATACTACTTCAACTACTACAATCAAGTAGGGTTATGATTTGAAACCATATTGTCGTGTCCAGTTTACTATTATAATTATTTCCCTTTTGGTCAAGCGTCTGGATTAGCTAATATTAATGGAAGTCCATTTTATTTTATCTTTCTCTGTGATTCTCATCAAGAATCTCCTAACTTGAGATTCCAAATATCTGTTCCACACCAGCTAAAATGTCCACACTCCGGATAACAGTTAAGACAAAAGGGAAGAGGAAGAGAAAAGGAAAATATTACTTGCTTTAATGGAATTGCCTACCCGTTACATGCAGCACTTCCATTTCTTCACATGACCACATCTGAGAGAGCTGGGAATAGTCTTTATTCCAGGCATCTACATGTCAGATGTAAGTCACAAATTCTATAACTGTGAAAGAAGGGAAGAATTGAAGTAGGCGACCTGACAGACTCTCATCAGACCCATGCTTTATCTGCTTAATGCACTGCGAGTGAAAACGGAAGTGTTAGCTGAAATTTGCCGAGCTGCTACAAGAAATGCATTCTATGTGAGCTTACCATAGGCCCTGTCATTTAGTCATCAATACTCTCTGATAAAAAAAAGAGTCTTAGGTAGATTAATTAATACTCCCAACTTCACATAGATGGAAAACAGCAAGTTCAAGAACAATCCAGCTATGTCTGATTTCTAAGTTCATATAATTTTCATTAGATTAGTAATTTTTCAACAGTTAGAATTGTTTAAGCTAATGTGAGAGTCTGACAGAAGTTAAAGTCTGTAAAAATCAAACTTATATGAACAAAATTTATCTTAAACCATCTGAGGGCAAAGACCCTATGGAACCAAAATGGAACATTTATTATAGAGATTCTTAATGAATTATGAAAGATAAGGGTCATCTGTTCCCTGGGTCTTGATCAAATTTAAGATGACAGAAAAATGTTAGTACATATTTTTATTAGAAGTAGAGAGGATTAAAATAAAGTCAACAAACAATAAAGGTGAGAAAACATGTCCCAGGGCAGTGCATAAAAGCCACCTAGGGATCTCATTAAAGTGCAAATTTTGACTCTCTAGATTTGAGATAGAGCCTTTAATTCTGTGTTCCATTAAATAAATAAAAACTGCAGACCAACATCCTTGAATATTGATGCAGAAATCCTCAACAAATTACTAGCAAATGGAATTCAACAGGAGAGGCAGCAGAGGAAGATGGATACATAGAACATTCCAGCAATCATCCCCCAACAGGAGCACATAATTAAACAAATATCCACACAAGAAAGCACCTTCATAAGAACCAAAAACAGGTGAGCAATTACATTACAAGGAAAGAGGCACTGAAGAGGATAGGAAGGACAGACTGTATTGCTTACACTACCCCTTCCCAACTCCTTGCAGTACAGAATTTATGTGCTTGGAGGAGGAAGAGAGAAGCAAGCATGAAACCTTGTGTTAGAACTCAGTGCTGTGCTGTCACAGCCAAACACAACACAACTCACAATTCTGCTGATGCCCATGGAGGGAGCCTTTAGAACAGCCTGGGCCAGACAGGAATCCTCTGCCCTAGTGGGAAGAAATCTCATGCCAGTTGGCTTCACCTCCAGCTGAATAAAGTGGCCTAGGACCTGGAATAAATTTGAGTGGCAGTCAGGCCAAGAGGACTGAAATCCCTGGTGTTGTGCTGGTCTTAGAGGCATTGAATTTGGAGTGTGACTCAGTGTGAGACCAATTGTGGCAGCCACGGGAGTGCCTGTGTCACTTTTCCCTCACCTCCAAGCAGTGCATCTCAGGGGAAGACTCCTTTTGCTTGTGAGAAAAAGCGAAGTGCAGAGGATTTTGTCTTGCAATTTGGGTACATGTTCAGCTACAGTAAAATAAAGCAGCAGGCAGATTCCGGAAGAACCTGATTCCAAGTTTTTGCCTCTGGATGGTGTTTCTAGACCCATCCTGGGCAAGAAGGGAGTCCAGAGCCCTGATGGGATGGACCGAGTCCCAGGAGGATTCGCCACCTTCTGAATAAAGTGGCCTTGGGCCTTGATAAACAGCAGCAGCCAGGCAGTAGTGGCCACAAGACTTGAGTGAGCCCCAGTACAGGACTGGGCTGGAAGAGAATATAGAACCGAGAAATAAATTCATACAAATACAGAAAAGTCATTTTCAACACCAAGAATATTCACTTGGGAAAGGAGAGTCTCTTCAATAAATGGTACCGGGGAAACTGGATTTCTTACATGGAAAAATAAAACTAGACCTCTATATCTCGCCGTTTACAAAAGACCTGAAACTGTAAAACTTCTAGAATAAAACATTGGTGAAACACTGTAGGACATTGGACCAAGCGAAGATTTCTTCAGTAAGAACTCAAAAGCATAAAAAACCAAAGCAAAAATACACAAATAGGATCATGTCAAGCTAAATAAACTTCTGCACAGCAAAGGAAACAATCAACTAACTCAAGAGACAACCCACGGAAAGGGAAAAATATTTCAACTACCCAACTAACCAGGGAAGAGTAACCAGGGAATAAGTTCAAATACTCAGATAACTCAATAGAAAGAAGTAGCTCAAATAACTCAAACAGTAGCTGAAACAACTCAATAGAAAAAAATAATGTAAGTAAAAGCTGGACAGAAGATCTGAATGAACATATGAACATATCTCACAAGAAGATATACGAATGACCAACAGGTATATGAAAAAAAGTTTGACATCAATAATCATCACAGAAATGCAAATCAAAATTACCATGATATGTGATCTCACCCCAGTTGAAACGGGTTTTATAAAAGAAGGCAATTATGGATGCAGGCAAGAATGTGAAGAAAGGGGAACACTCATACCCTATTGGTGGGAATGTAAATTAGTACAACCACCATAGAGAATAGTATGGAGGTTCATAAAAAAAAAAGAAAAATAAAACTACCATATGATCCAGCAATCCCAATGCTGGGAATCTATCCAAAAGCAATAGAAATCATTATATCAAAGAGATATCTGTACTCCCTGTTTACTGCAGCACTATTCAAAATTGCCAAAATATGTAATCAACCTATGTGTCCATCAATGGATGAAATAATAAAGAAAATGTGATACAAATACACAAAATACTACTCAGCCAAAAATAAAATGAAACTCTGTCATTTGCAACAACATGGATGGAACGTTGGGACATTGTATTAAGTGAAATAAGCCGGGCACAGAAAGACAAATATCATGTTCTCATTCATATGTAGAAGCAAAAGTACTGAACTTATGGGTATAGAGAGTAGAATGATGATTATCAGAGGATGGGGAAGGTAGTATGAAAGGGTAATAAAGAGGTGATAGTTAATGGATACATAAATAGAGTAACACAGCAGAAATAAAATCTAGTCTTTAGTAGCACAATAGTAGAGTGACTATAGTTAATCATAATTTATTGTATATTTCAAAATAACTAAAAGTGGAACTGAAATGCTCCAAACAGAAATAAATGATAAATGTCTGAGGTAATTGATATCCCAGTTACCCTTATTTGATAATTACACATTGCATGCTTGTATTAAAATATTGCATGCACCACATAAATATGTACAAGTATAATGTATTCATAATAATTTTTTAAGAATTAAACAAAATGTTATGTAATGACCAACTTGGATTCATTGCTGGAATACAAGGATAGCATAACATATAAAATCAATGGAACACACCACATTAACAGAATGAAAAAAAAATTCACTCAATTGATCCAAAAAAACATTTGATGAAATTCAACACTTTTCATGATAAAAACCTAAACAAACTAGAAAATAAACAGTATAATAAGACTATATATAAAAATTGCATAGCTAACATATTTAATGAAAAATATTAAAAACTTTTCTTCTAAAATCAAGAATAAGACAAGAATGTCTAATCTTAACACTTCTATTTATTATAGTTTAAATCTTAGCCAGAGCAGCTGGACAAGAAGAATAAGACGTCCAAATTTGACAGGAAAAAAATTAAAATTATCTCTGTTCATAGATAACATAATCTTTTATGTGGAGAAGCCCAAATATTGTACACACCTACACACTCATTATTAGAACTAATAAATGAATTCAAACAAATTGCAGAATACAGAATCAACAAAAAACAGTTGCATTTCCATACTAAAAATGAACAACACACAAATGAAAGTAAGAAAACTATTCCATTTGCAATAGCATCAAATAGAACAAAATACTTAAGAATTCACTTAACCAAGAAGACAAAAGACTGTACACTAAAACTATAAAATTTTGCTGAAATAAATTTTAAAAGACACCTCCGAAAAAGAGAAAAAAGATTGATGCATGTGGATTGGAAGCCTTGTTATTATTAAGATAATACTACTCAAGGTGACCTGCAATTTCAACACAATTTCTTATCACATTACTGGCATAATGACACACATATAAACCAATGGAATTGAACAGAGAACCTGAAATATACACAACATGATCATTAACTAAGGTCTCCATGCTGTAAAATAGATCAGTAAGCCTTATGACACTTCTCTAATTACAAGTTTGTATGCTTGCATACATACCTCTCCTTTTCCAATACCTTCCTCCCTACCAACCTCTGGTAACCCCCCATTCAACTCTTCTGTGACTTTGACTTAAATTCCACATTTAAGTGAAATGCTACAGTATTTATCTTGTGTCTGGCTTATTTAACTTCACGTAATGTCTTCCAGGCTTATCCCTGATGTTGGAAATGACAGAATTTCCTTCTTTATAAAAGCCGTATAGTATTCCATTGCATATATATATATATATATCACAATTTTATGTACATTTCTTTAAAAACTGTATTAAATTCATCTGTTAATTCTAATAAATTTAAGTATATCATTTCATTAAAAATGAATACTTTTGATATAAAAAAATGGAGAACCTGAAAATAAACCCTTGCATATATAATCAAATGATTCAACAAATGGTACTGGGAAAACTGGATATCCACATGCTTAAAATTGAGCTTGGACCCTTTACATTATATAAAAAGATTAAGTAAAAATGGATCAAAAACTTAATGTAAGAGCTAAAACTATAAAGTGGACATAGGGGGAACCATGAATTCCTGACATTGGATTTGGCAATGATTTATTTAATTTGTAAAAAGCAGTACAGGCAACAAAGGAAAAAAATAATAAGGTGGACTACATCAAAATTTAAAATTTCCTGTGTCAAAAGATACTCTCTACAGAGTGAAAGATAATAACCCAAAAATTTTTGATAAAGTGTTAATATACAGAATATGTAAAGAACTCCTATACCTTCAACTACAAAAATCAGACAAAGAAATAAACAACTTAATTTAAAAATTGACAAAGGACTTATGTAGTCATTTAACCAAAAAAGATACACAAATGACAAATAAGCTCAGATTTACAAATCACATAGGGAAGACGCTTAACATCACTGATCATTAGAAAAAATGCAAATACAACCTACAATGAGATATTACCTCATACCAATTATGATGGCTGTTACTAAAAAAAATCAGAAAATAGCAAATATTGGTGAGATATGGTAAAATTAAAAGCCATGTGCATTGTTGTAAGAAATGTAAAATGGTGTCATCACTGTAGAAAAGAGTAAAGTTTTTCTTCAAAACTTAAAGATAGAATTAACTTTATGGTTCAACGATTCCACTTCTAGGTATTTACCCAAAATAATTGAAAGCATGGTCTTGAAGACATATTTGTGCACCCATATATATTCATAGCAGCATTATTCAAATCAGCCAAAAGTTGGAAGCAACCTATGTGTCCATCAATGGATGAATGGATGAATGGATTTAAAAATGTGCATGTACACATGTACAACATACACACACACACACACACACATGCGCACACACACACACACACAGGGAGAGAGAGAGAGAGACAGAGAGCGAGCACACATAATGGAATATTATTCAGCCCTAAAAAGGGAGGGAAATTCTGACACGTTACAACATGGAGAAACCTTAAGGATATCATGCTAAATGAAATAAGTCAGTTACAAAAAGAAGCAGAGTTAGAGTAGTGAAACTCAGAGAAACAGAATTAGAAAGACGATTCCCAAGGACTGAAGGAAGAGTTGAATGGGGAATTATGCTTTAATTGGTACAGAGTTAAGTTTTGAAAAATAAACGGTTCTGAAAATGGATGCTGGTGATGGTTGCACAACAATGTACTTAATATATTTAAAGTACTGAATGTATGTAAAGCACTGATTCTGTACATTTAAAAATATAGCAAGGCCCCAGGGAACATATGGACACTGTTAAACAGAGTTCACGATATATTTTTATTAGCACTATGAACTACATAATTGTTAGGAGAATGAACTACAGAGTGCTAATAATTCTCCAAATGCGGGTGATTTAATAATATAACTTTATATTTTGATGCATTTTCTTGATGTATTCAGGGAGTTTTTATAATTGCCCCAAAACTACTATTTTAGGCTGTGTGTGTGTGTTTGTGTGTGTGTGTGTGTGTGTGTGTGTGTGTAGAAAAGATCGTCTATTTTAATAAGGAATGTCAAGATTCCAATTACCATCCTTTTGTAAAAGATCAGAAAATTGAAAATGTCATGCGCAGGGGGCAACAGTTTTCCTTAGATCTCAGAAGTCTCTGAATAAAAACTAAAACTTCATTCTCTCTCAATGGTCTGCCTTTATTTACATTAAAAGTAAACTAAATTTTAAATTGTTGCACTTTCTTCTAGTAACAAATTATTTAGATAGGCTTTGAAGAGGTCTAAAAATAGTTAATATTAGTGTATCTTAAAATAAAACTTCATAAGCAAATAAAAT
Source organism: Homo sapiens (assembly GCF_000001405.40). Taxonomy (NCBI): domain Eukaryota; kingdom Metazoa; phylum Chordata; class Mammalia; order Primates; family Hominidae; genus Homo; species Homo sapiens. The sequence continues at coordinate 102,877,848 of NC_000009.12, read as the reverse complement.
ATTTACACAGAGAGTCTACATTTAATTATGTCGGTAGCATTCCATTATATTAACCTAAAACTGGGTCAAAATTTTTCACTGAGGCATGAGAGCACTATTTCCTTTTTTTTTCCTTCCTCTAGGATACAGATTACTACAGTAATCATTCTTTTTGACAGTGAACAGAGAAAATTATAGGGAATTAACTATAAAAGCTTCCCCTTCCTCAAGTTCCTCCATGTCAGAGAATAGCATATGGAACTAAATAATGTTGGGGTTGGAAGGAGCCTTAAAGGTTACCTGATTTGACCACTCTTTTGAAGCATAAATTGAATACTTAATTATAAGGAGTTACAATTGTAGCAATTGCCATTTCAAGGAAAAAATAGTTAAGGTTTTAGGATATGCCCTCTATATAACAGAAAAAGCAGAAATACTTACACAGAAGATTTTAATCTGTCAAGGCCAGGACAGGACACAGTATCCCTGTTACATTTTAAACAGGGAAATATTGGTCCACAGATAAAGATGATGTTAAAATAAAGAAGCCAAAAACCCTTGGGATGCAACGGCCACCCAAGATAAGATGGAATGACTTGAAAATCTCAAGGTGGATATGCAGTTTCCATAGAATGGCCCTGTGGTGCCATTTATTTGTTTATTATTCGTTTATTTCTTGAGTGGTGATGGTAACAGGTAGAAGAGGAATTATAAAGCAAAAAAGCACGACACTAAAAAATGAAGGTGAGAAAGAGCCAACAGGACATTTTCTAATAAGTGGTATGAGGACAATTTTTCCTTTCTTGGTAGGAATTTACATATTGGAATAGGTCAAGAAATAGGATGGGCTCACATCTATGTTATAGGCACATTTAAAACAGAATAACAATGTATTTCGAGGGTTTAGAAACATTTATTAAATGTTTAGGGGAAGAGAATAACAAGTTTTACTATTATTCTCTGTTCTCACATATTCCCCTTCTGCCTAGAGTATTTTGCTTCACACTACTCTAGGCAGAGTTCTTGTTCTTGTACACAGAGGATTTACTTAGCTGTATGTCTTGAAGAAAATAAATGTCACATTCACCCAGAATTTTCTGATAATCTTTGTAGCTTTTGGAATAGATTTCATTATTTTTCTGCTATTACTCTACATTATTCAAATTTCAACCATAATGTCTACTGTTCTGTATGGTAGTTACTTCTATATGAGCTTGGTTCCTTCAGTGGATCAGTGAGTGCAGGGACCATTGTGTGTTGTGCAAAAACATATCTCCTTCACAGTGCAAAATATAAAAAACTTAGAATAATGAGAGAAATGGCATGGACACTGAAAAGCTTTTAAAGAAATTCCTGGAATTTGACTGTAAGTGGCTTTTTCCAAAATAGTGGCACCTATGGGAATTAGTAAGGTTTTAATTGCACTAGTATTCTGGCAGCAAACTTTTATATTTTATCATTCCAAAGTTTAGATATAAGGGTGTTGGAGTCTAGTGTATTTATTATGTAGTCTATTTCATATCAGTGACGTACTTATGGGGACAACTAATGTCCTCCTTGCCAGGAAAGTGACATTTTGCATATATGTAGTTGTAAAAAAGTTTCCATTCAGTCGGGCACAGTGGCTCATGCTTGTAATCCCAGCAGTTTGGGATGCTGAGGCGGGCAGAATACCTGAGATCAGGAGTTCGAAACCAGCCTAGCCAACATGGTGAAACCTTGTCTCTACTAAAAATACAAAAATCAGCTGGGTGTGGTGGCATGCACCTTAATTCCAGCTACTCGGGAGGCTGAGGCAGGAGAATCACTTGAATCTGGGAGGTGGAGGTTGCGGTGAGGTGAGATCATGCCACTGCACTGCAGCCTGGGTGACAGTGCTCTTACAGTGCCTGTGTTAGAAGATCATAAGGAATACAACACATTTAATAAAAATGAATGGTGCAACTTAAATAATATAACCATATTTCTTTAAAATTCAGAGTTGAAAGTCAAGTGACGTCATGTTGTAGCCAACAAAGACCCTAGAACAGAACATTTTGGAAGAAAGTAAAAATTTCCTCAATTTGTCTAATAAGTTTAAATTCCATATAAATATATTGAAGTAACTCAGTACTATAAATCCAGGCTCTTTCTAATTAGTAATAATTTTAGAAAAATGCTATAAAATTTTAATAGCAAAGCTAATTAATTTTTTCTACCAGAAAAAAAATTCAGTAGTTTTCTTTTCAAGACTGTGGTGTAATTATATTTTAAATAGTAATGAAGTAATCATGCATTTTGACAGACTGCTGAAATATATTTTATCAGCTAACCAAATCATAATAATGCCAGTTATTGTATTGATATAAAAAGGCCCCAACTCCTAACTCTCTTTCTCTTCACAGTTCAGAGATGATTCATATTTTCCCTAATATTCTCAAATAATCATCAGTGAGAAATACTGGAAATAAATTATGGAAAGTGCAGTTATGGAAAGTGTAAGTACTACAAGTTCTACAATTGAGAGTTCCACTTTTGTATGCCTAATGCAGAATATTTGACATTGTCTTGGGGTCTTTCCGTTGACTGTCATGGTAGAGGAGGGGCAGACCCTACTATTCCCTAGTAGCTGGAAGCCAGGCATGATGGTATAATACTACAATCCACAAAAGAACAGCCCTGCCCCGCTTCCCAAAATTATCAGCCCCGAAGTGTCAATAATTATGGTATAGAAAAACTCTGACCTAAGTTGAGGTATGCCAAAAGAAGATACTATATGGGGGAACTGAAATTAAGAGCAGAGATTTGGGGTATAAATCAACCATTTAGCAAACATTCTCAGGAAGAATTCACCCTTTGAAGGACTACAGAGTTGCTGATCAGTGGAGGAAAGATGATGAGAGAGTCATTAGAACCTGGGACACTGCTTACATTCCTGGCCTTCCCATCCTCTGCAATGAAAGAATGAACTGGAGATGGGGAATGTGTGTGATTGGGTGCAATAATGGTAGTTTTTGGATTCAGGGATTCTGGGCTCTGTTGTGAGCAAGTAGTTTATAGTTCAGGCTATTACATTGTGCTAAACCTGAGATTCATTCTTTGAAATAACACTTGTTCCGCTTAATTCACGTGATATTTGTGGGGAACAAATTAGACAATTTACATAAAATTATTGATAAATGATTAAGTGTTATACATGTGTGAGTCTTCCCATTATTCCCATTGACTAATCTACACTTCATACTCATTCTTGGAGTTTTCTGGGTGTAAAACCCCAAAACACCTCCCCAAAAAGCTATTATATGCAGCTCCATCAAAAATATTTTGACTGCTATCTTTATTACACGTAACCCAGTTTCCTTGTTTCCCAGCTTGGAAAGCTTACTAGGGAGGAGCTGTGATGACTGACAAAGTGCATGCCTATTCTTAGAAAAGGTAATTCACCTCTCTTCCTTCTTTCTTCTTTACCCTTTTGAGCACAGGCTGTGCTATTCCAGGGTCGCATAGCAGTCTAGGGTGGATAAGAGAAAGAGGACAATACAGGAAAAGAATGTCTAAAGTTTAAGAAAACCATAGAATTAGGGTAAAATATATATTGTAAAGTCAGAGATGCACATACTATGTTTAGACATTATGCATCAGGTGCACAGAGCCCTACCAGGCCCACCAGGCCGTTCCCCTGCTTCCTTATACTTCTTGCTGTAGCTGCAACATTTTGTCTTTTGAAATTCCATGTAGAAGCACCTTGGAAATGCCAGACATTGTTGAGACACCTGCTGTGAGCTATGTGCATTTCCAATTGCCATAGATCATCATCAGCTGTAGAAGGACCCCAGGAAAGATGTTAATGCTGCTGTGTTTCCTTTGCATCTAGAACTTTCATGACATATCATGTCAAACTCTGGTCTTCATCCTATTTCCAGACTTTATGAGAGACCACTTAGTAGCCCCTGTATCTGAGACCATTCTAGAACTTGTCTTTGTCTGCTCACTGTTTCCCATAGAGACCCAATTACTTGGCCCTGTGAGGAAGCCTTCTCAAAAAAACTATACTGTTTGACAATTTCTTGGCAGGTGATGCCAAGAAAGGTATCCTTAGCTGTCCTCTAAGATACCTTTTCAATCCTGAGGGAGGCTGCAGAGACTTTGCTGCTTCTCTCAGGTCCATTGTCCCTCACTGCACCACATATTGGCTGTCTTCTGCTCCCTCATGTTTTCCATTTTTCTCATTTTAACTTTATTGCACAATGGTCTCCACATTTACATTATAACATCTGCCTTCATCTCTGGTCTTATGCCTACCACCAGAAGCCACTCTAACATCAGCCCCACATTTCCATCTCACTTTTTCCACTCAAACCTCCATATCCTCTGCTTGATACTCCTTGTCACACAGCTTTTTTCATTGCTTATTAATCTTATGTTTGTCCCTCCACCAGCTGTTTCGTCTTTGCTATGTATCCTCTCATCCATTAGGCCCTGACTCCTTCCATTTTCCCCTTTTATTACTCTCAATTCTGGACTCCTCTTTGTCATCTGAGGATTTGTTGCCTCTGGCCTGACCACTCTGTCACTTTCCTTGCTCTCTCCTTTACCTCTGGGCACCTCTCTTCCTGCAGGGCACAGTTTGCTACGGAAGTCCATGTTTCCAAGGGGCTTTTTTTTTTTTTTCACACCAATAACACATTTTCCTCTCTTCCACCAGAACACACTCAGATCCTGAAATCCTCTTGCTGTCAGACCTCTGTATGGCTCTGGTTTCCACCTCTTTACTTAACCATACCTTCTCTCAGGGCATAAATATTCCACTAATAAGGGCCCATCCTTTAATGCCAGTGATTCACTGGCCTGTCATCCACCATCCAGCATATTTACATCAGCATAACCACTCTCCAATCACACTTTAGGGTCAATTCCAAATCTTGTTAGGTCCATTGCAAAAAGCCCCTCCTGGCTGGCCTTGTCTTTCCCAACTATTTCACACATTGAGTGCTCAAGCCTGCTCAGTTCAGCCCTATCAAAGAAGTGGAGGAGACTGAAGAACTCAAAAACCTAGACACCTAAACAGATTTATATTTGCAAATAGAACTTCAGTTATATAGAAGGACTGGATAAAGGCACCATGAAGCTGAAATTAAATTTTAGGCCAGTGGATTGCTGAAGACCCTTTGGGACAAGACCCTGCCAGTCCTGCCAAGAACACTGTTTCTTTCCAAAGGGAAAATGGGAAAAAAAATATATATATATATATGTGTGTGTGTGTGTATATATATATGTGTATGTGTATATGTATATATACACATATATATATGTATATATACATATGAAGTTTCTTTCAATGGCTTTGGACTCAGATAAAAAGGCAAGCAGCAACAAGGCTCATTATAAATAGCTAATCAGTAACAAACCTGTGTAATCTGAGACCCAGATCAAAGGAGAACTAACATAATGGGGCTGAGGGTCCAGAAACTGATGCCCATTTTGGGATTGATCCTGGAAATACTCCTTCATCTCCCAGAATGATTAAGATTCAAGTAGTTTTGTATTTCACAAAATTCACGAATAAATTTTGTGGTGATTGCCTCCTGCCTTCACAGTGGGGGAAAAAAACTGATTCCATTGGGAAGGAATAGCTGCCAGCTGTCCTCTAAGATACCTTTTCAATCCTGAGGGAGGCTGCAGAGACTTTGCTGCTTCTCTCAGTGTAGCCATAGTAAATTTCTATAGAGGTCCAGTAGGTTTCCCTTCCTCTGCCTTTATATGCTCTACAACAGTAGAGAATCAAACACTTCCAGCTCTGTGGTGTGTAGGCATGCAGCAGGCAGGGAGGCTAATGAAGCTACCCACCTGGACTAAGAAAAACGTATCAAAGATAAAATAGGGCTGTTAAGAAGTGTAAAAGTTTGGTGGTCATCTGTAAGATGTGGTACAGAATGTATCACAACAATAAATGTCATGACTACTGTGTTCCTTCCTTTAATATGTTTTTAAGTTTCCATTTCATAATAAAGGCAACATTATACAAGACAGAAGGAATGGCCTGCCTTCATATCTGATCATCCTTTTACAGCAGGGCTGGCATCTCTTATAAATATGGAGCACAGGGGTTAGGAGCTGCCTGAAAGATCAGGATAACTCATACAATAGCTTTCTGCCATGGTTCTCCTTAGCACAAATCTAGCAACCACTGTGTGTTACATATAGCAGGGATGCTCGTAAAGTAAGTGCTAATTGAGGTGGTAATTTTTTTAAGAGAAGGAAATATGAAAGATTCAATTTACTGTAGTGGAGAAAAGGAGTCTACCACGGATTCCAGCTAGTCTTAAGTCTAAGAAATGGAATCAATATAGCCCTTAAACAATCAATGGATTGTGCTAACATCCTGTCCTGAAAGAAAACATAACTGAAACAATACTTGGGCTCCGTTCTATGCTTAATCATATGATTCCTTCATTCCTGATATTTAATCACTCTACCAAGTATTTTGACAGGCAGAAGCCGGAGCATCTAACAAGAATGGTGTGCAAAACAGACATAATCCTTGTCCCTTATAAATTTAAAAGATCAGAAAATATATAACTATGATATCTCTTGTTAACAAAAATCAAATCATCTACTGTTATTAAAGAGACCTAATTTATAGATTTCATATTAAAATGTGCATTTAGAGTAAAAGATGTACTTTTTACTGAATCCCTACAACTACCCTGACTAAGCTTAGATGCTTAAATTTGATACTTTGATGCTAAATTTTTTGCATTGACTCTTTATATCCTATGTTGCTAATGAACTGAACCTAAAATACCAGAAGTAGTGGTAGAATAAGACAGATGCTAAAAGATGTAAGGATTTGTAAGATTTGGGTTTTTCCTAAAGGAAATAGCAAACCATTAAAAAGTTTTAACCACAGATTTTGCAAAGTCTGATTAACATTTTAAAAAGATCCCCCAGAAACTATGAAGAGAATAAATTGTATGTTGGTAAGAATGGATTCAAGAAAACAGGTTAGGGACTGCTTTTAGAAAAAGTTAATGTGATTGGAAAATTGAATCCATGGCCAGATAGTGAGGAAGAGGTAATAAAATGCCACCAGATCTCCACATGAGCAAATAGATGGTTACAAGTATGCTTTCATTGAATTATAAAAGCCTAGAAAATAAGCTATTTTTTTGTGTAGGAAATATATGTATTTATTTTAAGGGAGGAATGGATCTCTCCTCAAAGCCCATCTCTCTTCAATGGCCTATTATAGTGAGTGTTTGTTGGGTCTATAATTTCATTTATATAATATGTGGGTTACAAAGTATTCTAAAATTACAAATAGCTGTCTTCTTAACTCAGAAGTTTATTATATTCTTTCCGGCAAAGTTTTGTTCATTACGGACATTTAAGAAATATTTCCTTCTGTGTATTCTTCACCAGCAATAGCAGTGATGTAACATTTGTTGGGACACTTCAGTGACTTTGATATCAGGATTATGCTCTTAAATTCTCCTTTTTCTTCAATAGAAGTATCATTTTCTGATCCATAGAACAAAATAATTTGAGCAAAGTAATTCAAGATATGATGAATAAAGTTATTTTCACGGACTTATCTCTTTTTAAACTAAGGCTTTGCCATCTGTTCTCTTTTCTTTACATGTTTAGGATGTATATAATTAACTGTGCAATCATGTCATAAAAGGAAGGATATGAGTGATTTCAGTGCATCCTGATATTTTTATACAGTACATCTGTTATGAAAAGATTTTCTCCTAAATACATGTTTCAGGTACAAATCAAAGGAAATCATTTTTTCTTTGATCAACTCTTTCTAAAATGAACAGAAAATGGGAGTAAATTTAAGAATTCAATTTTCACTGAAAACACACAGTAAGTTATCAGTAAGAATAGAGTTACTTACTGCCTATATTATCTACAGCACAAGCAATATAATGTACTGTATTTTATCTCCAGTTTTATCTATCTGCCAAAATTCAAAAAAATCTGCAAAACTTATTCTCCAACTTGATGTGCTGCTTCTGTCTGTAGCACTAATAACATGCTGTTTGTTCTGCTTGAAACCTCCTCATAGATTTGAACATTCTCTGTACAGCTCATCTTTCCAAACATGTTATACTTACTTTATATTTATCAAAGCATCACATTTATACTCTTTCATTGAAATGGCTTGATTATCCATTTCCACCAACCGAACATAAAATCTGTTAAGCTACAGATGTTATCTTTCTTGCATAATTTAGTATCCTACAAATGTAACTAATAGTGTATGCTCAAAAATATTTGATGAACCAGTTGAATTAATATATGGTGCCTTATTGTCACCAATCTTGAACAAAGAATATGTGACTAAAAATGAAAAGTAGTCACTGACTGATTATTATTGAAGATGCATCCATGAGGTTATATATAGCTTTATTAAATAGCTATCTACTTCTGTGGGTAAAATTGGAGCTATCCTTTGTGGATTTCAAAGTCACAGTGAAGAGAGCAACTTTAAGGAGGGAGTTTTAAAGTTGGAAAATTTGAAAACAAAATGTGTAGATGTTTGTGCGCATTTACTAAAATATAAAATCTGACATTACATTGTAGAAAAACTTCGAGAAAATTGTAGCAAATGAGCTTTGAAAGTACTAACATTGTGAGAGAGAAACCCTGTATTTAATAACAAAAGAAAAAATAAGTAAATTGGAGCATAGAACTAACTATTGCCTCTCTGTAAATTTTATGTGAGAATGCGACCTGAATCGTTGAAATCCAAATCATCAACTTTGCCCTGAAATGCAGTCAAGTGTACGTAATTTTCAAAATTTTACACCAAAAAAAATTTTTTTCAAAACTGATTGCAAAATAAGGATAATTTACAAATTTGACCATATTTGAAATCATAAAACAAATCTTTACCAATAAAAATGGATTAAAACTATATGTATTGGGTTCGTTGACTATGGTAAAATTCATCAAGAAATCAAAATCAAAATAAAAATAGAAAATTTCCATTGAATTTTCAAATTAAGCAATACATATCTAAATGCTACCATTTAGTTATACTTTAAATAAAATATAATATTAATTGCTGATATGAATATCTACACCATCAGGAAACAAAGTTATTCTTAAACAGAAAGTTGGAGTTTTAAATATTCAGTTGTAAAACCAAAAAACCTAAATATAAAGTATTTAAATATTTATATCAACATGTTGAATAATAAATTGTAAACTAAACGAAATTAAGAGGAAGAAAATCATAAATGAGCAGAAATTAACAATTAAATAAAAATGTACAATAGAGAAAACAAAGTCAAAAGTTGAATCCATAAAAAATTTACTAACATGATAAAACTAAGTTAAGAGTAATCAAGTATAAACTGTGACACAGATAACCAACGTCAGAAATAAACAAGTGATATTATTAAGGATTTTAGAAGCATTAAATCCTGAGGAAATATAAAATCTTTGTATTAATAAATTTAAAAATTTAGATAAAATTTAGATAAATTTCTTGACCAGCACAATTTATCAAAACTAATAAAATATAGAAAATTTGAGTTTATTAAATAAAATACATAACAATAAATCTTTATTAAAAAAATCCATGTTAAAATGGCTTCCCAAGTTAGAAATTTTAAATTCTAAGAATCATTTAAGGCAAAAATAATACCAATATTATACACATTCTTTCAGATAGTGCAAAGAATAAATATTTTACTACTAATTTCATAAGACACAAATGTAAGTAAAACAAAACTTGACACTACATTACAAAAAGGAAAATCAAGGGCCAAACTCTCTATTGGAATTAAATATAAAATTGCTAAACAGATTAGCAACTCAGAATCAGTAACCTATAAAAAGGGTAATACATCATGAATGTTTCAGAGATCTCCAAGAATACTATAATTTTTTAGAGATAATTTTATAACTCAAAAAACTGTTATGTTGACTTTTATGGTTTATTTCAGCAAAAAGACACAGATTTAAATCAACAAAGGAAAGAGGTGCATAGGGCAGAATCCAGGAGAGACTAGTCATAAGCTTCCAGTTTTCCTTTCATGGTGAAGTCATACAGAATGTGCTTAATCTTCCAGTGACAAAGTGTGACAACATATATGGATTATTGCCAATCAGGGAAGTTCCCTGAGCCATAGTGTTCAGGATTCCATCAAGTGTCAGTCACTTAGGCATGTAGTGCCCACATTACTGACTTTAATTACTCAGTGTCCAGTCTCACAACAGCAGATCAAACTGGTATTGTTTGGCCCATGGCCCCCACCATAAATCACACTGTTAGCACAACTATCTGGTATGACTCAAGGCCTCAGATAAGCAAAGACAATTTTAGCAGGCAGAATATTTCAGAAGCTAGTCTAGGGCCAGAACTTTCGTTGAAATGAAAGCATTTGAACACCTCATACCTCCTGAGTCAACCCTTCCTGCTCAGCCATCAAGTCGGGTGTGAAACACTTTCAATGTAATTTGTCATATTAACAGTGGAAAGAAGAAAAATTATATGGCAATTTCAATAGAAATAAAATAATTTGATAAAATTCAATTGTTAGCTACCAATAGAAGAAAATGTTCTATAAAAGTTATCTAATTAAATTTTAGAGCAAACATAGATAATGTTGGAATGATAAGAAAGCTAAAGGAGAAAATTTTATTCCTGTTCCTAGCCAGTGTAATTAGGCACAAAAAATAAATAAAAGGTATATGGATCAGAAAAGTAATAAATAGAACTATATTTTTAATATGGCATTAATTGCCCATGTAGAAAATATAAATGAATACATGAATAAATGTTATATTTAGTAAGTGTGGTAGAATAATTACTCTAGTGGTCTCAGTTTATTCCTTTGTTTAATCCTCTCCCTTTTCCCTATAACTTTGTAGTGCTCACCAGTTGTGAGTGAATTCATCCTGTGCCTGGCTTTGTCCAAGGGAATGTGGTGTGACATGATTAGACTTTGTGTCCCCACCCAAATCTCATCTTGAATTGTAATCCCCAAGTGTGACCGGAGAAAAATGATTGGATTATAGGGGCGGATTCCCCCTTGAAGTTCTCCTGATAGTGAGCGAATTCTCACAACATCTGATGGTTTTATAAATTATAGCATTTTCTCTGCTTTCACATACTATCTCTTGCCTGCCACCATGTAAGAGGTGCCTCTTCTCCTTTTGCCATGATTGTAAGTTTCCTGAGGCCTGCCTCCCCAGCCATGCAGAACTACGAGTCAATTAAACCTCTTTTCTTTATAAATTACCCAATTTGGGGTATGTCTTTATAGCAGTGTGAAAACAGACTAATTACATGGTGGAAATGATGAGACAGTTTCAAGTCTGGGCCTCAAGAGGCTTGTGTACTTCTGCATGAACATGTACTTGTATGTGTTCATGATTGTACTATATGTAAACTAGCCTGGAACATCCTTTTGCAAGATGTAAGACCACAGTGAGGAGAAGGACCAAGTCTTCTCAGTGAGGCATCAGACATGGAAGAGATCACAGCAAGATTAGCAAAGCCACACAGCTCATTGCAACTGATCAGTTATGCATAAATCTTACCAAGTCCAGCTGAGATCAACAGAGCAACCCAACTGACCCATAGACACATGAGCAAAAATAAGTGTTTATTATTGAATGAGACTGAGGTTTTGTGATTGTTACACATGCTGGTTATGACCTATTTATAAGTGAAACAAATCTTTGCTAGAATTTTGGTGTTGCCATTAAAAACAGTCTTAAAATGTATATTCAGCCATGTGTGTGATATTTTCAAATATCTCTTTGGGCACTCATTTTTGAAAAACTTATTTATAACTTTCTCACCTACTAATGTAACATAATTTTGTATATGAGCATGTAGCAGTTTTTCATAAAGAAATACACTGTTTTAAGGAATGATCTGTATCTTTATTTAGTAAGTATTTATTCATTGTTTAGCTGATTCCACCAGTATTTCCATAGTCTCATTTATGTGTCCAGATGATAACATATTTTATTGCAAAACACGTACATTTTGGAACTTGGTGACAGTTTCTTTGCAGCTTATAAAATGATGACATTTTCTAAATGCTCTGTGGGTCCATGATAAGAATATCAACCCTTTTGCAAGCCGAACACAATGTTTATTATTAATAAATCATTTTTGAGTCAATTATTCATATCCTCCTTATCCTTGTTTTATTTAGACCTATATGGCCTTATTTTATTTATGAAATTATATCTCTACCATTTTAAAAGATCCTTTTGTACTACATGAATTTGAGCAGTCTTAAGTTCTTTAGGTAATAGAGTGCAATTATTAAAAAAAAAAAAAAATCCTGTGGTGGATTCTTGCTGAAAATTGTTTGTCATATATTTATACTTGAAATAAAAATTCTATCAATAATATCATTTCTCAATATATTATGCAGCTTGTTCTTAATTTTCTTGAATATTATTTTTTGAATTTTACTTTGTCTAAAATTCATGTTGATATTTTTAATTTTTTTTCCTGTGAAGTTTGCTCATTGTTTTATCCTTACCTTGTATGTCATTTTGTTTTAGGTATTATTATCTAAATAACATATTGATGGGATTTGATTTTAGAGATACTTTAGATTATTTGTAAATTCATAGGGGGATTAATTTAAAGTCTTTCATACATGGTAGGACTCACTTCTATCAATATCTTATAGTTTTGTGTGGGTCTTATTTGTTATTTATGATGTATATCTTCTTCCTGATTTTTCACTAGGTATTTGGGAGAAATATTCTCTTTTATTTTCGTAAAGGCTATTTTCACATATTTAATTACTTTTCATGTAAGAAGTTTTAAGCGTCTATAACGTATATAAAATAATGTAATTAAATACTTAACCTAATTCACATATTTCCAAAATGCTAACAATTTAGCATGTCTGTTCCAGATGTTGTGGTTTTGAAGATATAAAACAATATAAATAAATTAATTTTATTTTGTCTTTATGAATTCATTCAACTATTTACAAAGTAGACTCATGAAAGCATAGATCACATAAACTGTATGTGAGGCATTTTTGGAAATCTGTAGCTTTCATCAGATGATGATGGATTTAAGTTTGTCAATTGTATATTCAATTCTAAACAAAGTATTTTGGAAAATTATATAGCATGGTTAAAAATATATTGTTAAATTGGTATTTGAAAGATCATTCATAATTTAACATTTAATAATAATTATGTCTCTGGGAGTGAAGTTTCCTTTTAACAAACATGTCTATCTTTTTCTCATTTCGATTTTTTATTTCCATAAGTGTTAAAAATATTTTAAAATAGAACCCATTCTTGATAACACGTAAAAATGTTGAAAAAAATCAAAATAATATTTTTAAGAAAAATAATGTTTAAGTAAAATAATGTTAAACTTTAGGTTCTCAGAAAATAATGTGCCCTTATCATGAGTAAGTCAACCATTTGACATAGAGATGTGCTATTTTAATACATGGTTTTTGAAACATATTTTATTTAAAATTATTTTCTATATGTAATTCATGGAAAAAGAGCATTTAAGAGACAAAGAGAAAAGGTATTTCTGGAAAAAAAAACTCATTGCATCAACCAGATATGAATCTTACATAGCATCTCCTTTTTATTGTGAGATAAATTCAAGAAAACATGGTTTATGTAGAAAAAAAAAGATACAAGGCAAGATGTTCAGACAGCTGAATATACAATAAAGGACATTGTTGAGAAAAAATTTCAAGATAGTGGATAAAATGCGAATAAAAATACTTTATGAAAATAACACACTACTGTGGGACTTAAAGTACAAAGAAATAAAAGGGATACATAAAGAAAACAAACTTTCAGAAGCATAATGAAAAATGAGAGAACAAGGTCCACGGGGAAATGATTCAGAAACCTGTTACTATATGTGGAACACAGAGGCACAGCAGAAGCACTTTGATAATTCTGTACCAGGACTTTTTAAATTTCTAATAACAGAATTACTTTGGGAATACAGGATTGGGCATAGTGTATCCCATAAGTGGCATAGGAGAATTAAGACTGTGCAATAGACACAGCTCCAGCAGGCACTTTTTGCTGTTGAGTGATAAACCCCACAGAGTGACAACATTTGAAATACTGTATCTGATTAAATCTGCACAACAGGTTTGACCCTCAGCAAGTTCCTTCTCCCATCTCGCCTCAGCACATCCATCTGTAAAAGGATGGACTTGAACTAGCAGATTTATAAAAAGCCTTTTCAGGTCTAACTTTCTGTTCCTTGTGATTCTTTAAAATTCCCTTTTTGTTTGTTCATTTCAATCTGTTTTCACATGTGAAAGTTTGGTGCTGGCTAAGCAGAGACAAGCAGCAGGAAATGAAATCAATAACCCCAAACTGGATGCTTCAAAGACGAGGTGCATCTTTTGTCTCTTTTCTAAGGGAAAATGCTTGCAAGGATAGAGAGAAAACATGTCAGAAGAGCAAGTTAGACCTCCTGAGAAACAGCAATAAGAAAGATAGAGGTGCTGGTTGAAGAATGGGGTATTGGAGAAAGAATTGAATTTGAGGGAAAGGGCTTAAAAACTATGAGGTTTATTGAGCTTTAAGGATTAAACTTAATAAATTCTGCAAAGATCTCTTATGTGCAATGTTGGCTTTAGTTTTTGTGCAATGTGTTAGTAGGTTAGTTCATCCTTTTTGCCTCCATCTCCTTCACTCACCTCTCTTCTCTTAATATATTCCCAGAATCCTAACTATGACCTTCCCATTGGTATGATGAGAAGTTTGTTTTGAATTAAAAAAGGAAGTTTACAGATAATATCAACCACAGCTGAAGGTCATATTTCTGTTTCTGTCATTTGCTATTATTTTTGTTCTCACTTCAATAAGATCTGTGTGCCTGCTTCAGTCTACATCCATTGTTCTCATTCTTTTCTGTTCCAATCTTTTCCTCTCTCTCTATGCTTATTCCTTTCTACTAAGACTCAAGGCAGAAAACGAAACTAATGTATTAGCACTGAAACAGACCTCAGATCTTCTTGTCCAAAGCATTGACATTTTACAGATGAAGACTAAAACAGAGTTCTGTCTTGAAAATATTCAAAAGTAACTCATCGAACTTCATTCAACTGGTAGTAACTGAGATATGACAGGAGAACATAATTTTGGCTAAATAGGACTGTTTGCTATTATAGAAAAAGGCAAAAACAATGTATGCTGTAGTTTTGATCTTCATGAATATTTTGCTGATTTGCATTTTTTGGAATTAAATAACTTAAAATTTTGTTACTTATAACACTTTGTTACTTTTAGGGAGTTTTAGTGTAGGATAATAAACTAAAATTGTCTTTACTCTGGTGTTTATAACCAGAAATTCATAAAATACAGTAGTGTGATTAATTTGGTATTGCAGGCAAATAAAACCAAACAAAATGAAACCCTCATAATCCCTAAGAAGTTGAATTCAAAGGCAGAGCCAAAGGATTAGATAACCACTTAAAACACTAAAGCAGTTTTTGCATGAAACAAAGACCGGACTATGATTGTGGAAGTGAAGGGGCATTTGGTTTCTTCCAGTGCTGTAGTGTCAGGTGTGAAATGCCCTTACATCATTTAGCATCTAGCCTACGTTAAAAAAAAAAAAAAAAGTGAATAGTTCTACTTGATGACAAGACTTTTTGCCACAGTAAATGAACAATTAAGGCATTTGCAAAGAAAAAGAGATTAAATGAAGAATTGGATATAGTTTCCACATGAACATTAAACTCACACTGGATAATAAAAGAAAATAAAGGTTAAGTAGTAAATTTTATTCTGGAATAACACACCAAAACCTCAAGCTAGAAAAAAGAAAACTAAATAAATGGGATTACATTGAACTAGAAAGCTTCTGAACAGCAAAGGAAACAATCAAAATGAAAAGGCAACCTATGAAGTGGAAAAATTACTTGCAAGTCATATATCTGATGAGGAGTTCATATCCAAAATTTATAAAGAACTCATATAATTCAATGGCAGAAAAATGAGTAATTTGATTTTTTAAAAAAGTAAAATAATACAAAGGGAAAAATACATGAGTTTACAAAAAAGCCAGTATGAGAGCAGACTATGGAAACAGTATCCTTAGAGGGAAATTATGTATTGAAAGGCTAGGGAGTAGGGTCATAGTTTGCATACATCATGGATGGTATGTACTATGTTTGCAATGAAACAAGTGCTCAAAAATCACAACAAAAGTGATGGGTGATAGAGAATTATAGGGGTGATTGTTTAAAGGACAAAACACGGATGAGAGTATAAAACAAAAATATTATAAGTTTTATTGTCATAAATGGAAACACACAAAAACAGAATTTCTGATTCTGACTATTATTTAGCCTAAATTCAATATAACAGTCCTTCTGCCTTGCAAATTCAATTCATTGATTTTCACTCGGAGCAGACCTCCTGTAATACCCTGATATTATTACACTTTAATGTCATATCAGAAGGGTATCTCTGAATTGCTATTTTTATCTTGTTGTGATAACTTTTGCTTAAATTTTCAGTGGCAATTATCTCATAGTTTTCTTTTATATGAATGCTTAGCTAGCTTTTAGCATAGTGCATGAATTTGCAGAAGAATGAGCTCTAGTACAATCCTTGCAAAGGGTTAAATTTTTATAGGATATTCTGGATTTAAAGATATTTACAGAAGCATTAGAATATTTAAAGGGCAGATATGAATCTTGTACAAAGTGTATGTATATATATATATATGTACATACACATATTTCACACAAATAAATAGATACATAGTTCATTAAGGAAAGGATATTAACTATTTGATTAACTTCTCATCCCTCAGCTACTGAGCATAACACCAGAAAGACAGTAGAAATGTATTAGCATTTACTAAATTAATTAATAAAATCAAATGAGGGAAATGTTATGTTTATAAAAAATAATACTTCTTATAATTTTCTGTCTCAGTGAGGTAAGGCTGTCAGGGTATGATATCCTTTGCACAGGAAAAACATTGAGTAATAAAACAGCCCTTGCTTTAAAGTTATTTAGAGTTTAAATAAAGAGACAGACATCTACTAAATTTGTTCAATAAAATGTAGTAAGTGGAAAATATAGACAAACACATTTTCAAGGGGAGCAGTTAGCAAAAGAATGTTAGAGTTCAAAATCTACTTCCATATGATAGACAACCATTGTGTGTAAAGTGAGATGAGTTTGCTAGAACCCATGGTTGACATTATGGTGTACTGACCTGGCACCCCTTCAGGAATAAAGAGTTTTCCTTCAGCTGCTGAAACTATTGCTAGAAGACCATTTAGGGATGGTCTTGGCTGATGAAAACAGTCTTATTCAAATCTACCCTTCTTTCCAGGGTCAGCCTACAACCAGTGACTGAGCAAGTAAGGTTATATAGCCCTACCACTATGTAGCCCTACCACCCTATCTCCACCTGGAGAAAATTTTAAAGGTCTATTCTAGCTTGAGAAATCCTCACAAGTCAGTTTCTGACTTGTTTAGAATTAAATCAAAGCTTAACTCCTCCCTTCTCAATAGTACTTTTGTTCATTTTATTTAAACAGGTATTGGTCCTTAAAGCGTCTGCTAATAATATCCTGCATTCTCATTTCAGCCTCAGAGTCTGCTTTCCAGAGAACTCAAATTCAACAGTTGATGCCAAGAGTAATTTGATGAAGCAGATCCTAAGAAGGGATTTTGAGCTTGGTAACCCACTACCTGGCTGGTAATTATGACCACATCCCAAGTTACAGATGGAGAACAGAAAGTCCCTGAAAAAAGGTAAAATTACAATTGTAAAATGTTCACAGTACACAACTATGATCGGATAATGTCAAAGAGAATAAATTAAATGGTGTGATGTATCAGGTACTCTATTAATCTGGAGGAAACTGTAACTATGAGGACAATGAAATACAGTTTGTATTGCTAATTAATGCTTTGAGCAATGATAACTATTAATCTGCAATTAAATACTAAATATGTAAGCCAGAGGGCCTCCTTAGTAGTCTATTGATAGGCTCAAATCTCCTTTAGCAGTAGAGCACGATGAAAACCACACCTTAAACTTACTTGTAAGAGTAACTGGGCTCTAAAGAACAACTTAATATCAAGAAAGGCAGATCCGCCATCCAAAAGTCAGGTACATTTCTTCCTGGTTCATAAGAATGGGATCTGACACTGGATTTAGAGACATTTGGACTTATTCACTTGGAAATTTAAAATCACCAAATTTAGTTAAGCCCCCTGAGCATGTAGAAGTAGCCTAATTTTCCCTGTTAAGGTTGAGTACTCTCCCAATGCTTGGAGAAAACGAAGAGACCTTTTCTCTGCAATAATGCATGTTGTCCCTCTCCAAATATGTCCCCATCTTCTTTCCTGGCCACTGGCTCAATTACTGCGATTAAGAAACTATATAATCCAGATGGGCATGAGATGGAACTATTAGTGTAAGAAATGGATTATATTCCAAAGGAACTGAAGGGCTTAGGTCCTTTGGAATGTAGTCCTGCCAACATATATCAGCAGATGTGTACATGAATCCAAATTCTGAGGATTTAGGACCAAGCAGGGGCAAAATATATAGTTCAATAAAAGAGACTTATCAATATAGGAACATTCTCCTGTAACACAGAATTTAACATCCTGCTAAAACCCCAAGAGATGGTGTGAACACACTGCAGTACAGCGATAATTCCTAGTTGCATAGAACAAGTGATGGCCTACACAAATGTATTAGATATGTCAGATCATGGAAGCTAGAAAAAAGTAGACTAAAGTCTCGAAGGGGTGGCATGTTCATTTGGATATACTACTTAAGGCTATGAAACCTACTAGATAACTATATTTCTCAGAACTATATGGAAGATACAACATTTGCTGTAAAAATTGTGCTTGTGAGAGGGGCACGTTGTTCGGTAAGAAATCATGAGGTGGTCCTCCTATGTAACACAGGAAATGATGGTAGGGGATGCTGTTAGAGAACTAGACTCACTCAGAGGAGTGGATAATTTACGATCCAAATCAATAAAAGAGGCATGAAATAATTAATTGTCTGAAGCCACATGGGCACAATTATTATAATGAATAATAAGTTTGAAGTGACAGCCAAGGAAGTCTTATTTTCAGATAATTATCCAGGTAGTTAATCAATTGTGTATTCCAGAGAGTTCAAACAGATTGCCTCCATGCAAAACAACCAAGAAGAATATTGCTCAATGTGTTCACTCTGACAAAGTCGAGGTGTATGATCAGGAGGCTGAGGCTAGTTTCCTTCACTTAATGCCATGATTTGGCCAGTTTCTGGACCTGAGACTGTTTTCCAACCTGTGACTCATTAGTTAAAATAAAGACAAAGACCCAAGAAAGAAGGATATTAGAACACAGTGTGCAAAGGCAAGTGAGGAAACTGAATCAAGGTAGCCTGATTTAACATGAAAGGTAAACATAAAGGGAAGGCGTGTGGATGTACAACCCTGAACCTCACAGAGCTCATCCTGCTAAAAAGCGGGGCTGAAGGACATGACATTTTGTAATTTCTATGGCAAAATCTTTTGTCCTTAAAAGGTAGTGTCTTCAGATAAAGAACAGAAACTGCAGGTGGGTCAAGCAGGAGGGAACATGTACATTTATTCATCTACTCACATATATCTTATAAGGGAGTAAAACAATCAAATTCATGCCCCCATAGGGCTTACATTACCACAGGAAGACAATAAAAAAGGTAAATAAAGCATACTGCAAGTGTATTAGAAATCAATAGATGTTAAAAGGAAAATGCAAATGGACAAGAAATATAAGAATTCCTGATGTGAGAGATTACAAATGAATATTTTAAACAGGAAAAAAATATCCCTGGGAAGGTGATATGTGATCAAATACTTAGAAGGTGTCAGGACATGAGCAATATGAAAAACTGGCAGAATAGAGTTCCAGACAGGGAGAACAGCAAGTGCAATGTCCCTGAAATGGAGAATGCATAGTGAATTCCAGGAATAACAAAATGGCAGTCTGTCCAGAGATGAGAGATGGAGAGGAGGAGAGAAAGAGGAGAGAGAGAATGGTAGGGTGATGCTGACAGCAGTAAGTGGGGGCCCAGATCACAGGAGGCTGATACAAGTCTTGGAAGGATTTTGTTTTTTACTTGGGTTGAGGTGGGAAACCCACTAATCTCTATTTCCTTATTCTTCCAGAGAACCTAAAATCATAGTAAGGTGTTTTTGTCCATGTTTCTTAATTTTATTCATGGCTCTATTCTGGGTGCTGCAGGAACTTGTGTATACTTCTTTCAGGATATTTTCATATAGTACTTTAATAGTTGTTTTTTTATTTATTCCAGATGATGGGGCTTTATGAGTATAGGAAATATACATTATTGTTGCTAATTATCACAGTGTCTAGAACAGCAAAATCTCTACCTTATTGCTGAATAAATGTCTGTTGGAAATAGATTATTCACATTGTCATATCACTGTCAAATATTAACGCTTTGGATCAAAATTACACAACAAAAATTGTTTGTTATGCTATATTTGGAAAGTATTTGAGTTAGATCTATATAAGCACATTGGTTGTTTAAAAAGACAAAGGAATATAGATTGGATTCAAAATAGAATACAATTTACTTAGATAGCTATCTTAACGTAGAGTTTGAGTCAAAGTATCTCCAATAACTATGAGCTTTCCTTCTCCTGTCTAGGATAACTCTCAACATATATCTTTCCGTATTTCTTATATAAGTTTTAATCAATTCCACAGTGAAAATCTCATTAGAAATGGCAACATGGGAAGTTTTATAGAAAAGCACACAACAAATGTATTAAAACAATTTGTATTCTCTGTAATCTATAGAACATGAAAAAAGGTAGAAAGTCATTCAACTTATTTTTTGAGGTGCGTATAATGCTGATTCCGGTCCTGGGTGAGGAAAAAAGAAATAAAACTACAGATAGAATTCAATAGATGCACAGTTACAAGGAAAATGCAATTAAAATATATCTGAAGGCATGCTAATAATTAATAAATCATTATCAAGCAAAATTTACTCAATAACTCAAGAATATTAAGATTCTGAGTATAATTCAATAGATTAGAATATTTGTTTTTCAAACTGGAGAACTTTGTCATGATTTTCGATGGGAGCATTCAATGGTGTAATATCAACAGTTGCACTTAGACTTAATACAAGATGGGAGAGAAAGAGGAGAGTCAAGAAGTATTACCCAGTTTTTGGTTTCAAAGCTGGAAATCTGGAGTTGCAATTAACTGAAATGGGGAAGACTAAAGAAGGACTGGTTATTTTTCTTTTGGGAGATCCCAGTTTTGAATAATCTAAATATCAGATGTTTTTAGATATCAAATGGAAGTGTCAAGTAGGCAGTTGGATATATGGTTATGAAATTTAAGAAAGATGTTCAGGCTGGAAATAGATATTTGGGAGACATTATCATAGAGATGTTCTTAAAGCCATGAAACTGAAATAGGATCACTAATTCGTGATTTAAAATAGGAACGAAATTTCAAGTACTGAATTTTGAATTACTCTAACATTTAGATGACAGTGTGGTGTGAGAAGGAAACAGAATGTGCAACCCAGAAAGTAAAGCCATAGGAATAAGAGAAATACAATGTAAGTGTGGAATCTTAGAATCCAAATGAAGAACTCTCTATATCTATATATCTCTATATAGGTGTTTAGATATATAGGCAGATATATACATACATACATATATACATTTATTCATACATAAGCATACACACACACACACACACACACAAACATAAACACATGCATGCACACACCCAGGCTGAAATTTTTATAGTGTCTTTTTCGTATACTAATAAGAAAAAGATAACAGTAAAGTAGGCATTCATTAGACAGACAATTCACTTGAGAAGTGCAAATATCTAATGCAGATGGAAAAAGATTCTTAACTTCACTACTTATCCCAGTAAGAAAATGTTTCAGACACAAATCTACTCTTCTGCAGTACTATGCTTATGATGCTGAGGCTAAATTCCATAAACTACATTCCTTGCGGTTTCTTGTCATGTTCTGCTAGCAAAAAGTATTAGAGAAAGATTAGAAACCCGGAGGAAGGGAGAAGGGAGTTTCTCTTTCTGTATG
Source organism: Homo sapiens (assembly GCF_000001405.40). Lineage (NCBI taxonomy): Eukaryota > Metazoa > Chordata > Mammalia > Primates > Hominidae > Homo > Homo sapiens. The sequence goes on along the minus strand of NC_000009.12, from coordinate 102,855,773 downwards.
CCTGCTTTTTCTCTCCTATCACCTCAACAACATATTTTAACACATGAGTACATAACTCAAGTAAGTAGAATGTAGAGAAGAGCTGAGCCCAAGGGCAGAATCCTAAATTAGAAAATAATCTAAAAGGAATAGTTTTATGCTGTTTGGAATAACACAATTTGTAATCAAGACAATGAGCAAAGTTGCCAAGTAATGTCTTACAGTATCAAAAAAATGGAAAGCATTTTCATATAAAAAGTAAATAATATTCTTAAAATGGTATATCAATGTGAGAGAAAATGTTCATGAAACATTTGTGTTAACAGATAATAGTATTTAAAATGTGTTTTCATATACATATGTAGGTTATAAATTACAAATTAAACTTAAAATGTCATAGTTTGGAATATGATATTGCTATGCATTTCTAAGCAGCTTAATTGACATGCAATTCAACAGATGTTTAACAATAACAACATATCTATACTCAGTCCAATGAAAGGATTATATATATATAAATGTATATATATGTGTGTATATATAAAAATGTATATAAAGTAGATATGACTTGAATAATGTTAAAATGTTTGTAGGAAAGTCTAAAAATATACAGTAAAGTGACAATGGTAATTATTTTAAGATTGGGATCTTATGGGTTATTTTCTTCCACTTTTTGATATCTGTCAACATTATTTTACCATATTTTTATAATAATGGGGAACAATCTGTTGAAACAGTTTTTTCTCCTAACTCTAGTGGATACAAACACAACTTGAGTTTCTACTTAACCCAGGACCCACACATATTGTGACCTCAATAATTGTATACCTGATTTGAAGGCATTTGCTTCAGATTTTCTGCCCTATTAAAGCCTGTATCTCCTAAAGTTCTCACCACAGCCCTAAAAGATGCAGCATGTTACTCTGCCTCAACTCTAAGAACAAGGAGGAGCCTTGACCCAGAGACAGCTGAGATAGAAAGGTGATTGCTGAACAACTGTAGAGGGACTTTGTCTCCCTGCAAATATTGCTGAACCCTCTTAATCCATTTCATGGCCACTGAATCGCTGTGTTTGGGATTTTTATTCTGGAGCCTTCTATAATATCCAGAAACAGTATCTGTGAACTTCCACTAGAAACCCAAAGGGTTTTGCTCTAAACTGTGCCCTGCCCCCATAAGAATGACATTTTAATCTTTTTTGAGAGTTCCTATCTAAGAACAACATAATTGTTGTAGGAAGGGAACAAGGAAAACAAGTTTCTCTGAGCTTTCTTTACCTAACCAGTAACTGTTATTTTCAAATAATGGTAAATATTAATTCCTCTCTAAGAATCAGAAGGGGAATCCCAATCCCGATGAATTCCAAAAGCTAGATTAAAATTCTTCTATAAATCCTCACAGTCTCTTATATTTCTCTTTCATGAAACATCCAAAATCTATGCATTTCTTATGAGTGCTAGGCCAGTTCTTCTCGAAGTATGGTTCATAGACTGGTGATGGTCCCGGAACTATTGGTTACCAGTCGGAAATGAAACAATTACCAAAAGTGAAAGTAAGCATTTAGGAATTTTTATAGCACATTTTTGTTTCATAACATTCGAACAAATATGTAGGGAGCTTCTTTCATTGGATTGAGTATAGATAAGTTTGTTGTTAAACCTGTGATAAATTGCATGTCAATTGACCTGCTTAGAAATGCACAGTGATATCATATTCCAAACTGTGATACTTTAAGGTTAATTAGTTATTTATAATCCATAAACAGCTGAGAATATGCAAGCATCTTTTGCATATTTTCTTCACTTTTCTTTAATTTAAAAACATTTATAAGCTGGGTGTTGTGGCTCATGCCTGTAATCCCAGCACTTTGGGAGGCCGAGGCAGGCAGATCACTTGAGATTAGGAGTTTGAGACCAGCCTGGCCAACATGGTGAAACCCCACCTTTACTAACAATACAAAAATTAAGGAAGGGGTCCAGTTTCAGTTTTCTCCATATAGCTAACCAGTTTTCACATAACCATTTATTAAATAGGGAATCCTTTCCCCATTGCTTGTTTTTATCAGGTTTGTCTAAGATCAGATGGTTGTAGATGTGTGGCATTATTTCTGAGGCCTCTGTTCTGTTCCATTGGTCTATATATCTGTTTTGGTACCAGTACCATGCTGTTTTGGTTACTGCAGCCTTGTAGTATAGTTTGAAGTCAGGTAGTGTGATGCTTCCAGCTTTGTTCTTCCTTACGTCTTACACAAAAATTAACTCAAGATGGATTAAAGACTTAAAAGTAAGACCTAAAACCATAAAAACCCTAGAAGAAAACCTAGGCAATACCATTCAGGACATAGGCATGGGCAAAGACTTCATGACTAAAACAACAAAAAAAAATGGCAACAAAAGCTAAAATTGACAAATGGGATCTAATTAAAGAGCTTCTGCACAGCAAAAGAAACTATCATCAGAGTGAACAGGCAACCTATACAATGGGAGAACATTTCTGCAGTCTATCCATCTGATCAAGGGCTAATATCCAGAATCTATAAGGAACTTAAAAAAAATTACAAGAATAAAACAACCCCATCAAGAAGTGGGCAAAGGATATGAACAGACACTTCTCAAAAGAAGACATTTATGCGGCCAACAAACATATGAAAAAAAGCTCATCATCACTGGTCATTAGAGAAATGCAAATCAAAACTGCAGTGACATACCATCTCACGCCATTTAGAATTGAGATTATTAAAAAGTCAGGAAACAACAGATGCTGGAGAGAATGTGGAGAAATAGGAACGCTTTTACACTGTTGGTGGGAGGGTAAATTAGTTCAACTATTGTGGGAGACGGTGTGTTGATTCCTCAAGGATCTAGAACCAGAAATACCATTTGACCCAGCAATCCCATTACTGGGTATATACCCAAAGGTTTATAAATCACTCTACCATAAAGACACACGCACATGCATGTTTATTGCCCCACTATTCACAATAGCAAAGACTTGGAACCATCCCAAATGCCCATCAATGGTGGACTGGATAAAGAAACTGTGGCACATATACATCATGGAATGTTATGCAGCCATAAAAAAGAATGAGTTCATGTCCTCTGCAGGGACGTGGATGAAGCTGAAAACCATCATTCTCAGCAAACTAACAAAGGAACAGAAAACCAAAAACCACACGTTCTCACGTGTGGACAAAGTATGAGTCGAACAATGAGAACACGCGGACACAGGGAGGGGAACATTATACACTGGGGCCTGTTGGGGGTTGTGGGTCTAGGGGAGGGATAGCATTAGGAGAAATACCTAATGTAGATGACAGGTTGATGGGTGCAGCAAACCACCACGGCACATGTATACCTATGTAACAAACCTGCATGTTCTACACATGTATCCCAGAACTTAAAGTATAATTTGAAAATATATACAAAAATTAGCCGGGCTTGGTGGCACATTCCCATAATCCCAGCTACTCAGGAGGCTGAGGCACGAGAATCACTTGAACCCGGGAGGTGGAGGTTGCAGTGAAACGAGATCATGCCACTGCACTCCAGCCTAGACAACAGAGCGAGACTCTGTCTAAAAAAAAATACATAAATAAAATAAATTTATAGTTTAACATTAATTAAATTAGGGAAGTTAAATGTATATAATTTATATACTTATTTGACCCTTAATTTATTCCTTTTTCTGGCCGAGGGAAACTACTTTTTTCTGACTGTGGCAGCAATAACAACACAATTATAATGGAATTGATTTTGAATTATTGACTACTACATACCTTGTGTTTGTTTATAGAAGTACAATCCCTCATATACTGGCAGTGATTTTATAATTGATGGTGAAGTATGAAAAGTGAAAATCATCGACCTTTTTTTGTACAGATGTAGTATAGATTAAAGCAATGAAACTATAAAAGCATAAACCAACACTTGCATAAAATATTTTTAAAAATTTAAATCCCCAAAATTGTTTGTAACAAAGCATTATATTTAAAACCCAACAAACGCAAGATGGAAGCTCACTATTTTGGATATATCATTAATGTTGTGAGGACTTCTTATAAAGTAGGACTTGAGTTGTTTAAACCGTAAAAAATGTGTAATTGTGTATAGATTAAGAAAAAGCTACATTGAATATTTTGCATCAAAATATTGGATAAGCCTATGACAAAGAGATATATCTAATATTACTTTTCTAAGACATCAGAGAATAATGTATTTAGAAATCAGCTAATTATTGGGACAAAAAAACTCATAGAATATAGTTTGCAAAGTGTTTTTCATTGCAACTTGATGAATGCATAGATGTTGAAAATTACCTTTTGGTTTTTTTGAAATGTGTCATTTGAAGTCTAATGATATAAAGAAAAAAAATTTAGTTTTTTCGACAACAAAAAAGCTTGAAGTCTATAAAAATATGGAGAATTACATGCACAAATATTTGGCTTGGAGTTGTATGTTTTATGTAGGATTTTATTCTGCAATCTAGATATCTGCAATGACAGTTATTACAGAGGTTTTTTTTTTCTAATTAAGGAGTTAATGCTCAAATAGAAATTAAGACTGCTTCCTTCATCAAGAAAGCCTTGCTATGAAAAAATCGTTAGCCAATCTAAACAATATGCTTACTGATGCTATAGAAATATATATAATTTGTTAAATCATATATTATTTGCTTAATTATGGGATAATATGGACATCAATCATAAGCAAATGTGATTGAATGCTGAAGTATGGTGGCTATCAATGTTTGTCCTACCAAACAAGCTCTTAGTGTTTCTGCAAGATTAAAAAAAAAGTTTGGATCTAACTTTGTAATGTTAGTTAAACATGCTTACTTATTCTGTATCTTGTATATTTATAATAATCTTAGTATTTCCATTCAGGAAAAAGCACACATAATTTTCAATAGCAGATAAAATCTGAGTGTAAAAATGTTACTACATTTTATATTTTAACAAGTTTTAATAAAGTGATTATTTTAATATTGAATATCTGCTTGAAGTTTTTACCACTTAATGAATCTGATACGACATTGATAATTGTCGATATGAAGATCTATTCATGGGAGATCCATGAATCTATAATTTATTAAATAAATAATATCCTTAGTGGACTGAAATTACATTAAAATTTCCTTTTCTATTTTTGTGAACACATTTAGCAAAAGTATGCTACATATATTTTATAATTAGGTATAATTGCGTGCAACTATAAGATGTTAATGTGATATTCTCTGTATTAATTGTCTATGCATGTACTTCAATGAACACAATTTTTTTAACTTTTATTTTAGGTTCATGGGTACACCTACAGATTTGTGATAGAAGTAAATCAGGAGGGTTTGTTGTACAGATTATTTCATCACCCAGGTACTAAGCCTAGTACCCAATAGTTATTTTTTTCTGCTCCTCTCCCTCCTCTCAACCTCCACTCTCAAGCAGGCCCCAGTGTGTGTTGTTCCCTTCTTTCTGTCCATAAGTTCTCATCATTTAGCTCCCACTTATCAGTGAGAACATGCGGTATTCGGTTTTCTGTTCCTGAGTTAGTTTGCTTAGATAATGGCCTCTCGCTCCACCCACATTTCCACAAAACACATAATCTCATTCTTTTTTATGGCTGCATAGTATTCTCTGATGTATATGTTCCACATTTTCTTTATCCAGTCTGTCATTGATAGGCATTTAGGCTGATTCCATGTCTTCGTTATTGTGAATAGTGCTACATTGAACATTCATGTGCATGTGTCTATATTGTAGAATGATTTATATTCTTCTGGGTATATATCCAGTAATGGCATTGCTGGGTTGACGTTGTAGAGTAAAAGGAACACTTATGAACACAATTTTTATAATTTGGTATAATTCTATTTCCCTTTCCTGTGATATACCTGTCTTGATGACAGTTATTAACATTGATTTTATATCTGTGAAAATCTGATAATAAAAATCAGCATCTGTATTTTGAATGCCTTTTCACCAGGTCATTCTTCTAGTAACATATTTTTATTGTATTCTTTGAAAATATATTATCAATATATTGGAAATTAAAGCTCCTTCACTACAGAGAGTTTGGGAAGGATTAAAATAAATGGTCAGCTTCCTGAGGACAGGGTAACACATGTATGTGTGCATTATTATTATGATCGTATTGTTCATGCTTAACTCAGATCCAGGCATAGAGCAGATGCATAATACATGTTTATTGGAGTAATCAATAAAAAATAAATGGATTGACAAACCTGTCAACAAGAAAACTACGAACGAAAGGACTAGGCAACAACCAAGGACTATGAATAATGATTTTCCTCCAAAGCTTGGTTTTATGAAGGTTCAGAATAAAGTTTACAGAAGTCAGTTGATTATACTTTATTTTAGGTATCAACAGGGCAGTAGAAGAGGTTATTTTGAGATAATATATACCTGAAATTGAACACAGAATTTTCTGATTCCAAATCAATGTTCTTTGTTCTATCAAGATGTTTCATTGCTAGTATGGATTTGATACAATTTTTCCTTTTATAGGTCCATGTGAATTTTGCTTTAAGGCTAAAAACATAGTTTAATTAAGTGTAATTTATTCCCTTAAGAAAGTTTAAACATAGAAAAGTTATATGATTAAAAATAATTATGCCAAGGTATTCATAAATACAGAGAAATACAGAAAAAAGGATCAAAAATTATGTGTTCATATTTAACATATGCTAAATATCATCACTCCCAACAATAGTAAAATATCAGGAAACTTTTAAAGCTTCATCAAGTAGTGAAATGTAAGGACTGGATATATAATTTGTTTGTAAATTTTGATTTAGCGATTTCAGATATGTACTAAACCAAAACACATGTGAAACATACACTGCTGTTTTCTCCTCTACATGTGTTCCTTTAAAAACCAGTATAATTATAGTGTAATTCACAAATACAAACAATAAAACTATAAAGACAAATAAAAGATAATAAAACCCAAGATGTGCCAGGCACTGAACTAACAACCTTGTAGATATTTGCTCATTTGTTCCTTCTAACAGAAAAATACGGGCAAAATCAGGCCCAATATTAACAAAAACTTAGTTTCTTGTGAAATATATAGTATTCTATATATGTCCTACCAAAAATGATGGCAAAAATTGCTTGAACCAATTTAAATAAAACATATCAAGGCACTTTATTGAATTAATCTTTTAAAAAATTAAAATAGTATGTCATATTTCAGATAGAATCTGAATTCTGACTAAAAGACACATCAGTTTTTTCCACAGGGATTAATATGTAGCTCCTTATTCTTTTTTTCTTCCACCAGGTTGTGTCAATTTCGGTTTCTTATTTTCTCATACAATTATTAATTCCCTTTTTCCATCTCACTCTTTTAATTTAACTTTGGCGCACATCATCACTCATGTCGATTACTGCAGGAGACTCATAAAAGGTCTTGGTTCTTGCCCCTCTGTAAAGTGTACTCCACACTGATTTTTTAAAAATGTAAATCAGATTAGAACATGTTCTAATATAATTGGTAATAGATTCTAATTTCTTCAACATTAAATTTAAGGCATTTAACACAGTATAAAAATGTATTGGTAACTAGCCCTCTAACTTTCTAATCCGTATCTCTGATTTTTTCTCATTTCTCCCCATACTTAGCCAACTTTTTTCTATGTTAAAATGCACCTGGCTCTTTCATTTTCTGTGCATTTCTTTTTTTTTTTTGAGCTTTTTTTCTTTTTTTTTTTTTTATTATTATACTTCAAGTTCTAGGGTACCTGTGCAGAACGTGCAGGTTTGTTACATATGTATACATGTGCCATGTTCGTGTGCTGCACCCATTAACTTGTCATTTATATTAGGTATATCTCCTAATGCTATCCCTCCCCTCTCCCCCCACCCCATGACAGGTTCTGGTGTGTGATGTTCCCCTTCCTGTGTCCAAGTGTTCTCATTGTTCAGTTCCCACCTATGAGTGAGAACATGCAGTGTTTGGTTTTTTGTCCTTGCGATGGTTTGCTGAGAATGATGGTTTCCAGCTTCATCCATGTCCCTACAAAGGACACGAACTCATCCTTTTTTATAGCTGCATAGTATTCCATGGTGTATATGTGCCACATTTTCTTAATCCAGTCTATCATTGATGGACATTTGGCTTGGTTCCAAGTCTTTGCTATTGTGAATAGTGCATGGGCAACGACTTCATGTCTAAAACATCAAAAGCAATGGCAACAAAAGCCAAAATTGACAAATGGGATCTAATTAAAGAGCTTCTGCACAGCAAAAGAAACTACCATCAGAGTGAAACCGGCAACCTACAAAATGGGAGAAAATTTTTGCAATCTACTAATCTGACAAAGGGCTAATATCCAGAATCTGCAGAGAACACAAACAAATTTATGAGAAACAAACAAACAACTCCATCAAAAAGTGGGCGAAGGATATGGACAGACACTTCTCAAAAGAAGACGTTTATGCAGCCAACAGACACATGAAAAATTGCTCATCATCACTGGCCGTCAGAGAAATGCAAATCAAAATCACAATGAGATACCATCTCACACCAGTTAGAATGGCGATCATTAGAAAGTCAGGAAATAACAGGTGCTGGAGAGGATGTGGAGAAATAGGAACACTGTTGGTAGGACTGTAAACTAGTTCAACCATTGTGGAAGACAGTGTGGCGATTCCTCAAAGATCTAGAAGTAGAAATACCATTTCTGTGTGTTTCACATGATATTTCCTCTACATAGAATGTCTTCTCTCCAATCCCCCATCTTTGTTTTTAACTCATCAAACATCACCTCAACTGAGTAGCTTCCTTGACATATCACTCCCAAGTTCTCAAAACCCTGACAAAATGTTCTCGATGTTTACCTTTCTAATGAAAATTATCAAACCTTAGTCTTCTTAGTGCCTAGTAACTAGTCTCAGCAGCAAAATATAGATTCCTCTTGGGTACAAGGTGTTTATTTTATTTTATTTTATTTTATTTTATTTTATTTTATTTTATTTATTTATATATATTTTTTGAGATGGAGTCTCGCTCTGTCGCCCAGGCTGGAGTGCAGTGGCGTGATCTCGGCTCACTGCAACCTCCACCTCCCGGATTCAAGCAATGTTTCTTTTAAATCTTCATTGCCAGTGACTTGTATGTACCAGGCACATACGAGGTGCTTGAGAGTTGAATGAAGAATAAATGCAGACAGAGTAACATAGGAGCAAAAGGCTTTTCAGTCATCCTAAATTACCTTTTTTATCAGCATTTTTTTCTGTGGTCCCTTGCAATTTTATGCAAATTGCTTTCTGAGTGTTCAATTACAAGCACAATAGCTATCCCAAAAAGAGTTACTTTTTATTGGAATATTAAAGATTACTGCTTTGCAGAATAGGATTTTGGGTAATTTGGCAGTCTACAGAGATTTCCAGTTGTGGATGTCTTTCTTTCCTGCTGAAATCGGCACTACTTTGATAACCCTGCTTTATAAAGTTATTACTAGGCTCATCAGGTTTCATATATAGCACCTCAACTGATATAATAGTTCCATGAAAATCTGCCATGTGTGGCTTTCTAAGCTGATTGTCATTTGTATTATCTTACAGAAGAGACAAGTAAACCACTCAAACATATAAAGCATTGTACATGTATAGCACTCTCTTATGATGATACAGAATTGCAAGATGTACAATTAGATTTTATGGCACTAAGATTTTGATTTATTTTATCTGTAGAAAAGGAAAGAAAAAAAACTAAGTGGTGCAATAAAAATGGGACAACACCCTATCCAATAAATCTTAGCAATACACATTCACACTGTCATATGCTGAGACACATAAATACATGAAAGATGATATCACTACTAAATAATGGCTCATTGGGATGCAGGTTTGCTGAGAAAAGAAAACTCTCTATCATACTTTGTTTACAGAGTCAAACCAGCAAGGAAATAATGCTAACACCATCTAATACAAGTTGGGTTTTTTAAAAATAATGAAGAACAAACAAATCAGAAATTTTGCATGATCATTGTAATACAACTAATATTCTTACACCGTACCTTAAATGTTTCCTGTTGTTTGAAAGCATAAATGCACTGAGATTGCAACAGCAATCTCAACTATTGAATTCAGCAACAAAAGCCTACTGACTATATTGTGTTGCTTAAATATTGTACATTTTACATCTCACCATACTTCAAGAATTATGCTAAATATTTATATGTTTGTTTACCAGCAACTACCTTAGAATAAACACTCTGTTCCTTAGAGGAATGAATAGGTGTGCAATAAAATATGCAGTACACATTTTTACCTGTTTTTCAAAACTCTTGCAGTCAAGAGAATTGCAGAGCTATTTTGAGATCATTTTAAGATCACATAACTCTGCATATGCTGGGGTCTTCGAATTATAATCAAAGCCCTTGTAAAAAGAATCCTGGTTCTCTCAGCCTCATGTAACAGGAACATTCATAGATTCATGTCTTATTTCTGCATCTGGAGCATGGGCATGTTTCCTCACACTCAGGTTTGTCTTCCTTCTGAACATATTCATATGTTATTTTTCTTCTTCTGTGGCAAATATCACCATGTGCATTGTATGATAATGACTGTGTACATATTTACTGAAAATACACTCAGCAGTAGGACACGTGAGTTTCCAGGCTCAGGGAAGTAATCTACAAGACGCTTTTCAGTTTAATCTATGTGGCATTAGATACCAGTGGCTATATTCTTCTTAACATTTCTTTGTTCCCCTCCCCTCTTCTGATACCACATTTTTTCCCTAGATTTACTCACTACTTCTTAGCAGCTCCTTTCAGACTCTTTTACTAGTTTATACTCCAGACTTATATTTGCTTTAGTAGTCTAGAGTCCGCTAGAACAGGAACTCCATAAAAGTGAATAATTTTATAGTCTCTTTCACTGCTATATTACTGATAGATAGGGCAATAATTCTATGCAGCAATAAATGCTCCATTAATAATTGTTTAATAGTAAAAAAATGAATGATCGTGGTAGATACAGGCCTTTTTTTCAGTGGAGCTCTCCCTGCATATCCTAGGCAGTAAAGTGAGGTGCTATCCATGTGGTAATAACTCTTTTTCACTTTTGGCCTTTATTCACTCACATGTCCTACCTGTTGAAATGTATCCTACTAACACTCAAGAATAGTGTAGGCCTTCTGTTAGTATTCTTAATACAGACTGAATATTCACACACTGTTTGTTCTTACTTAATTTTTGTGATATGGATTCTTTGCTTATATTGAGATATATTTTCTGTTAGCAATAGCTCATCTATCAGTTATCTAACTATAAATCTATTTTATAAGATTCAGTGTCATACATATTATACACATATTACATATTATAAGTATTTTGAAATGGGGTGAGCAGAGGGCCTAGTTTTCCTGCAGCAGTAGCCAGTGACAGGCTGCAGGCACAGAAATACGGAGAGGAAGACCCAGGGACCTGTAGAAGAACAAGGGTGGAGATTGAGGGAGATTTGGAGGTTGAGCTTATATTTTCCTAAAAACAGCCTTGGGATGGAAGGCAGAGTTTCTGGTTACCTTACACAGTCATTACTTTCTCCTGAGTCTCAATTCCATCACCTGTAACATGGGTGTGATTAGTCGTTCTGCAAAGGTGTATTTTATATGATTGGTAATAATTAATTTCTTCTTTATTAGTCATATTTAAGAGTTTCTGTTAGAGTTTGAAATACTATGCTTAAGCCACAATGACCTTATTTTGATCCCTCAAATGTTCTTGCTCATATCCTTGTACATATAACTTTCTTTGTATGGAAAATTATTCTTTTCCCGACATACCCTTTCACTCTTTCCCATCTTAAATGAAACACCCCTTCTTTAGGGAATATTTCTCTGATCTCACAAACTAGGCCAATCTTTTTAGTTTAGTTTTTTCCCTCTTAATCCTAACTCATGTAATACTCTTATTTATCTTCGAAATGTTACTGTGAATGTCACCAACTCCATGATATTCATCTGAGAATACCTTAGTATAAACATGCCATCATCATGTTCTCATAGCATTCTGTATTTATTTTCATACTTCTTTCATGGCTTATATTGTACGATTTGTGTGAATATTTAATTTTTTCTACTAATCTGTAATCTCCATGATGGCGTGCATTGAATTTATTTTACTCATCATTTTATTCCCAGTGCTTATTATAGTTCTTGACATATTGTAGGTGCTCATTCATTCATTAATAGCTGCAAAGAGCATAATTGAAAAATCTACTTTTGTTTTCATTTAAAGGATTTACTTAAAATACATCCCTAGATGTAGAATTTTTCTCAAAAAGTCTGTGCATTGAAATTTTAATAGAAAGTGCCTTTTTTTTTTTTTTGAGATGGAGTCTCGCTCTGATGTACCAAACCAGACTCAGACCAAGTATTGTTTTGAGACAATCAATTCAATGGGCTTAAGGGATCACTGAAGCCACAGTATGGATGCATAAGGCACAAAAGCTAACCATATTTTCAAGTGCTCAGTAGCACATGGGGTTAATGGCTACTGTACTGGCCAGCATATCTCTAGATACTACTCAGATATTTACTGTAGCAAGTATGTCTGGAAAAAATAAGAACTGTGTGTCCTTCCTGTAGAAAGGAAATCTACATTGTATTAATCAGTTAAGCACATCAGATATAAATATATATACATAGGTTAATAATATTGTACTTAAAGTCTTGAATGTTTACATCAAAGAAAACTACCTAGGTAAAACTTGTGTTGAAATATAAGAATATAACTTGATGAAAAAGAGAATAACATTCCTTTAAGGCCGCAGTTTTCAGCCTTGCATGCACATTAGAGTCACATGGGGAGCTTTTTAAAACTTTCCATGCACAGACTGCAAATCGGTATCTGTCACAGACACAGTCATTGGGATTTTTCTCTTAGTTATTCCACTGTGCAGCCAGCCAAGAATAAGGACCAATATTACAGCAAGTGACAATTCCTGGAGAAAATGGTTAGAATAAAATATGCTATATGTTCAAAAGCAAACAACCCTTTTTTTTAAAAAAAATATACAGCACCAAGTTATCTTTCAAAACATGAATTAATTTAAAAAAGAGTTAACTGGTGTTCCATTTATTAGTTTGCATTCCGAGGCCTTTCTCACCTTTGTTCCCACCTACCTTTCCAACACTCAGTACAATACACCTTGGACTTTAGTTACAGATTGACTAAAATCAGTTTAGAAAGTTCATTTGGTTAGATATTTGCTTTAGACAAAATAATTAGACAGTAGTATGTAAGATGAATTACCAACAGCAAGAGCGAAAGGATGCAGGAAAAGCTGCAGGATTGAAGAGATGAAACCAAGGGGACTGGACTCATAAAAACTGCAGTGGAAAAAAAAAAAGAAATAGGTATTTACAAATGTTAGCCTTTATTATTTTAATCGCTATAACAATTCACATATACGTGTATTTTAAAAATAACAACTCTTATGAACTGTTCACATCTACTATGTCATTTTATATGCTAGTGAAAGATGAAATTCATTCACTTGTACCCACTTCCCCCAGTGTCCCCCCAGAGGAGGACAATATGAAGAACAAGTCAGAGATGACTCCAAAATTCCTAGTTTGGTTGATGAAGTAGAGCATAATGCCATGAACAAAATAAAATGGGATTCAAGAAGTTGTAGAGAAAAGCACAATTGATCTGTTCTTTTTTAAGTTGATTATATTGCCTGTAAGGCATCCAGAAAAAATGAATATATATGTGGTCAACTGGACCTGAAAATATAGATTAGTCTATACTACCTAATTTGCCAGATAAGATATTTTCCCATTTTAAACCTTTGTAATTTTGTTTCATCTTTTTCCAAGTGGCATGTAAGTTCCTTAAGCACTTATAATTATTCAGCAGAGTAATTGTAATTGAGTAAACTTAGCAATTACTTTTGAATGCCCAATAAAATTGGACATAGAAAATGATGACCTAATATTCTCTGTGGTCCGTCTGAGAAATTGATTTGGGCTTCATATTGATATCATGAATAGAACTTGAACTATAAAAGAAGTAATTTACAACATAAGGAATACAATTTAGGTATAGAACAGAGGTCACTTTTAAGTAACTGAACTAGCTCTTGGCTTTGGCTTGGTTACTTATTAGCCTGGTTCCTCTGGGAGGAAAAATGTCACTTTTCTTTTTTCTATATACTCAAGCTGTTACTGTGGCTTGTATAATTTACTCAGGAGGGTTAGAAGTAGGGAATGTCAACATCTTCATCCCAAATGTATCACTTGCCCAGGCCAGGAATGCAGACGGTAAAGCTAGTTGAGAAAAAACCCAGTGTCTATCAGGCACGCCCACTTTTCAGTACTAGTCATATAGGTGAACTGCAGGCAAGTCCCACACAAGCATACTAGCATGGTCCTCCCTTATCTAGGTTTTCTTTTCATGAGTTTCAGTTTTCCATGGTCGGTGGTGATCCAAAAATATTAAATGGAAAATTGCAAAAATAAACAATTCATAAGTTTTAAATTGTGCTCCATTCTGACCATTGTGATGGTCAAGCTGTCCTGCTTCATCCAGCGTGGGATGTGAATCATTCCTTTGTTCATCATATTCACACTGTTTATGCTACCTGCCTGTTAGCCACTTTGTAGCCATCTGGGTTATCAGATCCACTGTCAGGGTATCATAGTACTTGTTTTGAAGGATATTAGTAGCCTAATGCTGGGTCGCAATGCCTACATCATTTCTGTTAGTTCATCTCATCACATATGCATTTTATCACCTCACATCATCACAAGAGGAGAGATGAGTATAGTATAATAAGATATTTTGAGATACAGACCGCAATCACACAATTTTTATTACTGTATATTGTATAATTGTTCCATTTTATTAGCAGTTATTGTTGTTAATGTCTTACTCTGCCTAATTTATAAATTATACTTAATCATAAGTATGTATTTATAGGAAAAACATAGTATGTGTAGAGTCTGGTACTATCTTTGGCTTTGGGCATCTATTGGTGGTCTTGGAACAGGTCCCTCACAAATAAGGGGAGCTACTGTACTTAGCATAAAGCTTAGCACATAGATTTTAGTGGAATTGAACCAGTGAATTACAAAGGAAGTTTGCAATTGATCATAACTTACAAATGGAGCCAGAGAAGTGCCCCATTATTTGAACTCATGGCTTAAGTCAACAACTATGACTCATAAAGCATTTAAGATAGTAAGCAAAAATTCTTGGATACGCTATTCATGATAGAATCCGCAGCATAGGCAAAGAGCGTTTGCAAAAAAAAATAAGGAGCAAACATGAAAGCTATTACATAATTTCTACTTCAAAGTAAGGAAGGTTTGGTCAGTAGTATACTAGTTTGCTAAGGCTGTTACAACAAAATACCACAGACTAGTGGTTAAAAGAACAGAAATGTATTTTCTCATGGTTTCAGAGGTCAGTAGTCCAAGATCAAGGTACTGGTGAGTTGGTTTCTGGAGAGGGCTTTCTCCTTGGTTAGCAGAGGGTTCCTGTCTCACTGTGTTCTCACATTGCCTTTTCTCAGTGTGCACACACTCTTCCTCTTGTTAAAAGGACTCTAGACCTATTGGATTAGAGCCCCACCATTCTGACCTCATTTTCACTTATTCTGATGGCTAATACTGAGTGTCAACTTGATTGAAGTATTGATCTTGGATGTGTCTGTGAGAATGTTGCCAAAAAAGATTAACATTTGAGTCAGTGGGCTGGGAAAGACAGACCCACCCTTAATCAGGGTGAGCACCATCTAATCAGCTGTCAGTATGGCTAGAATATATAGCAAGGAGAAAAACGTAAAAAGCCTAGTTTGGTCTAATCTCCCAGCCTACATCTTTCTCCCGTGCTGGATGCTTCCTGCCCTCGAACATCAAACTCCAAGCTCTTCAGTTTTGGGGCTGGGACTGTCTCTCCTTGCTCCTCAGCTTGCAGACGGCCTATTGTGGAACTTGTGATCATGTGAATTAATACTTAATAAACTCTCCCTTATTTATATATATATGTGTGTTTTATATATACACACATATATAACATATATATACATATATAACATAACATACATATATATGTGTGTGTGTGTGTGTGTGTGTGTGTGTGTGTGTGTGTATCCTATTAGCTCTGTCCCTCTAGAGAACCATGACTAATATACTTACTTCTTTAAAGAGCCTATCTCCAATTACGGTTACTTTCTGAGGTGATGGGTATTATGACTTTGACATATAAATTGGTGGTGGGGTTGGGGAGACATAATCCAACACATAACTATCCCAGAATTGGTTTATAATTGAAGCTATTAATGTAGGTCAAGGTGAACTGATTAGAAAAGTAGCAAATAACAGAGACAAAAATAAATGAGATGAGGCAGCCTTGTTGAAGAGCCATAGCTTAGTTCGACTTGGGGGCTGACCAAAGTTATTCTTGGATGCTTTGTAGATAGTCACAAGAATATTCATGAGATACTAGTAAGAGAATTAATAAACTACGTAAAGCTTAAAACAGCACTAAGACTTTTGGAAATATACGTGTGTGTGTGTATGTGTAAAGCTTAAAACAGCACTAAGACTTTTGGAAATGCGTGTGTGTGTGTATAGTAGTAGCAGAAGAATTGCCTTTAGTTGTACCTATGTTTCTGCAAAAAAAAAACCCACATAATTTTATTCATTTTTATGGTTTATATGTATGTCATATTTTTTGAGACAGAGTCTTGCTCTGTTGCCCAGGCTGGAGTGCAGTGGCATGATCTTGGCTCACTCCAACCTCTGTCTCCCAGGTTCAAGCAATTCTCATGCCTCAGCTTCCCAAGTAACTGTTATTACAGGTATGTGGCACCATGCCTGGCTAATTTTGTTTATTTTTTGTAGAGATAGGGTTTTACCATATTGCCCAGGCTGGTCTCGAATTCCTGAGTTGAAGTGATCCACCTCCCTTGGCCTCTCAAATTGCTGTGATTACAGGCATGAGCCACCATACCTGGCCTGGAAATACATTTTTAAGTATCCTCATAAGTTTGAAAATAAAAACAAATATTAAGACTGTAGAACAAGTTAGTAAGAAAAATAAATTGACTATGTAAACTGAGTATCTCTATAATGTCTAGGGTTAAAAGTAATGCAAAATATTTATCACTTTTCTTTTCAAAATGAGTATTTAGAAAACATCTAGGCTATAATCTTGGAGTAAGAGTTTCAAATTTAATTAATTCAGAAAGCACATGTAAACGTGAAAGGGTGACAAATTTGCTTATATTAAAATCCAAAGACATCTTGTCTTTCCCATATTATTAATGGACTAAAGAAGTTTCTGTACATTTTAAATAAATAACCTAGGCAATAGGTGATGGATTTTTAAAAGTCTTCTCCAAGCAGTGACAGAGTTTGACATATGAAACCTATTTGTCTTCATTATCTGTAAGCTGGAAGAATAAAAATTGAATTTAGACAAATACGTTAAACTTACCAACAGACATGCTTAGAGGTAGTGTGTGTTTTCATGAATTTAGAATTAAAATAAGTGGCTTATTTTAATTCTAATAAAGTAGGTCTTTCCCAGGGAAGCCTGAGGCAAAATAACTTATTTTCTGATCATCTCTGCTAAGTAGAGTTTGATAATTCTTTCTTTCTTGGAAGTATATGAGAATAAGTGCTTTTTTTTATTTTATGGTCTGTTAAAATGCCACTAATAAGCTTATCATTTTTTATGTAAACAAATTTATATTTATTAGTGAATTTTTCTGATGGTTATAACCTTTGAATATTTTAATTGGGCCAAATATTTTAGGTTTATAAAAATTAAAATTACTCAGCAAGTAACAAGAACAGAAGACAAACAAACTGAAAATATATATGGTGAATTTGTGTTCAAAATTACTATGAACTTAATGGATCTAAGATAGTGTTCAAATTGAAATGCTAGTGAAGTGGGGAATGTTTTACACAGGTTAGTATGAATCTCTGCATAATGCAAAAAGCCCTCAATTAGACTTATGGAAATTGAAATTGGAATATGATTTGCCAAGTTCTTTGGGAAGAACTAGGAATTTATTTCTCTTCCATGTCAGGACTACTATGAAGACATGGGATGAAAAAGAGTGTAGGATGTGCAGAAGAAGGGGGCAAAGAGATGAGAAAGAAAGGAAGAAGAGAAGTCTAGGAAGATGGAAACATAGGCAAATACTAGCAGAAGAATAGCCTTCAGTTGTACCTACGTTGCTGCCAAAAACATAATTCCATTCTTTTTATGCTTGCATAGTATTCCGTGGTTTATATGTATGCCATATTTTTATCTAGTTCACCACTGATAGGCATCTTAATTCCATGTTTTTGCGAGAGTGAAAAGTCTGCAATATGCATGTGCATTCATGTGTTTTATGGTAGAAAGATGCTAGAGACATCCTAAAGAAATTAACTCAGGAACAGAAGACCAAGTATCACATGTTCTCATCAGTGAGGGTTAAAAATTGAGTACATGTGTACACACAGAGAAGGATAGACACCAGGGCTTATTTCAGGGTGGGGAGTGGGAAGAGATTGAGGATCGAAAAACTACCTCTTGGGTACTATGCTGACTACCTGGGTAATGAAATCATTTGGACACCAACCCCAGCAACACAGAGTTTGCCCATGTAACAAGTTGATACGTGCATCCCCGAACATAAACGTTGGAGGAAAAATATTTGATTACAAAATAATAAGTAAAATAACAAGAAGTCCTTGGGAAACAAACCAAAGAAAAAAAATCATCGCAGAATAGATGAAGTGGAAAAAATGGGACCAAAAAGAGAATAAGAAAGGTGATAAAAGAAAAGATCAACATTTCAATGTGAAGAAGTATGAGAGGGAGAGAAGACAAGTGGAGAAAACGAAATGTGTAAAAAGAAGAGAGAAAAATGTGAGAAAAAACACATAAATGAGGAAGAATAAAAGGGAAGAGGAAAGAAGTCTGAAGAAAGAAAAAAATTGTGGTGATTTATGGGCTATTTTCTATTTCCAGTAACTATTCAAAATATATATTATTAGTTTAAATCATTTATGAAAAAATTACAAAATATATAATAGTTTAAATTATAAAATATAATTTAATAACCCCATTGTCTAGCTAAAGTAAAAAAAAAAAAGGAATGACATTAGCACATGGTATAGCTTAAAACCTATATGACGGGTTTAGGTGCAACAAACAACCATGGCACATGTATACCTATGTAACAAACCTGCACGTTCAGCACATGTATCCCAGAACTTAAAGTTAAAAAAAAAAAAAATACAAGATCATGTCCTTTGCAGGAAACTGGATGGAGCTGGAGGCAAGTAACCTTAGCAAACTAAAGCACGAACAGAAAACCAAATACCACAGATTTTCACTTATAAGTGGGAGATAAATGATGAAAACACACGGACACATAGAGAGAAACAACACGTACAGGGGCCTATTGGATGGTGAGGTTAGGAGGAGGGAGAGGATCAGGAAAAATAACTAGTGAGTACTAAGCTTAATACCTGGGTGATTAAAAAAAAATCTGTACAACAAATCCCCATGATACAAATTTATCTACATAGCAAACCTGCTCATTTACCTCTGAATTTAAAATAAAAGTTAAATTAAAAAAAATCCCACCATGTACTTCAGAAAATCGACCCACACAATCAAATTTTTAACATACCCTAGTATAATTTGTATATACAGATTGGGAAATTAATTTCAGCTGGCTCATGTTTAAACCTCTGATACAGTAACTACTAGTAAACCTTGTTCATGTAACTGCGCTTATGCTACGTTGCCTTGTACTTCCAACTAATACATATCAAATACATTGCTTTACTTCCTAAGAGCTTTTTTTTAAAAGTTAGAAAGTAAGAATGACTCCTCCACAGCCTCATTCTAATGTATGAATCTCCTACTGTCAATTAGGGGAGTTGAAGTGCTCAATAAATTCACAATGAAAAGAAGGCAAGGGTGTGTTATGTCTTGAGGAATCCAGCCTTAGCAGTGTCAAAGAGTGGACTATCAGAAAAAAATCCTCTGGGAATTTTATTTTTGATGACCAATTTTGAAGAAAATGTTTGGAATCTTTTAATTTGCCTGGATTATGCAAATTTTCTCCTACTGAAAAAATAAAAGCTTGAGGACAGTGTGATGCAAGTGAAATCAAGATTACTCAAATACTTTAATCTCCACCAGCCCACCAAATAATTTAATTGCTCAAGGATGGATAAATGACTACATACATAGTCTACAAAATGAATTGGTATCATACAAAAAAAATAAATAAATACAGTCTTAGATATACACAAGATGAACAACAGAAACAAACTGTCAGTAAAATATTCTTACCACTGATAACAGAATGCAACTTTTAATTATTTTCTGTTTTACCTAATTAAAAAATATATATTCAGTAAAAACATGAAAAAATGTTGAAATTGGCCAGGTGTAATGGCTCAGGCCTATAATCCCCGCACTTTGGGAGGCCGAGGCAGGTGAATCGGCTGAGGTCAGGAGTTCGTTACCAGCCTGGGCAACATGGTGAACCACCGTCTGTACTAAAAATACAAAAATTAGCTGGGTGTGGCGGCAGGCACCTGTAATCTCAGCTCCTTGGGAGGCTGAGGCAAGATAATCGCTTTAACCTAGGAGGCAGAGGTTGAAGTGAGCCAGGATCGCGCCACTGCATTCCAGCCTGGGCTACAAGAGCCAAACTCTGTCTCAGAAAAAAAAAAAAAAAAAAGTGAAATTAAGCAAGAGTGACTGAAAATATAGGTAGGTATGAATTGGGACTTGGGCAATAAAACAGAGGACTTACATTTCGTCTGCCTTCCTTTTCATTTGTCCCACTTCTCAAATTTTCATATTGTTTTTAGTATTATATTTATTATGTTTTAATGATTAATGAGATACTTAAACCATTGTTTTAAAAATTTTGAAAAGATTTTTATTTATCCTTACAAAAAACGAGGTTAACAGATTTTCACATAGGCCTACATCCAATACATCTCCAGCCTGATTGTTTGTATTATTGTTTTAGATCCTACCATGTTTACCATGATGCCGTAAATATTATATCGAATATATAGAACCTGATTCATCTACCTATGCAATTTCCCTTGAGAGTCAGAAACAGGAGGGAAAATTGCTATATTTTCGTAACTCCAAGTAGCTTTCGTTACTTCAACTTTCTCACCAATTCTTACTTAGTACTTTTACTTAATACTTTGTGAGATATATTATTATTTGTTTTCATGGTTTGTAACTTATTCAATGTCATATCCAGAAATTCCCTTGTTTCTTTTTCCTTTTTGTTTTAGACCAACGAAGACCTAGCCATTAACTTTTTTTTTTTAATTTCCATGTTTTATTTTCCCAAGATCTTTTACAAATGTGTCTTTTAATTTACTGGCTATGTGAGTTTTTGTAATTTACAAGAATTTCTAATACATTGGGCCTTCCATAAGGATTTAAGTCAACAAGAATGACTTTTTTTCCTTTTTACGTGAACTGGAACTTGTATGAGAATCAATTGCCTCTTACTACTTCTGTCC
The DNA here is from genome assembly GCF_000001405.40 of Homo sapiens. Lineage (NCBI taxonomy): Eukaryota > Metazoa > Chordata > Mammalia > Primates > Hominidae > Homo > Homo sapiens. The sequence continues at coordinate 102,834,243 of NC_000009.12, read as the reverse complement.
TCCCCACCACCAGAAATACTTTTTTCATAGCTTTAACTTCTTTGGGGACTGTACATTGCCATAAAAATATTTAAATTCCAGATGATGGAAGTATTTAGGCCTGAATGTCCACAGGGTATTTATCATGCTTGAAGTCAAATAACTTCATCAGACTTTGTGAAGATTGTTCTATATCAACTTTCCCTGGCATATGATGTGCATTTGACACCAGCTTCTTTTCATATTTTTAAAAGAAATGTTCTACTCTATTTATCTTTTAGTATTTTCCTCTTCTATATTTTATTATATAGAAACAATTATATACTTGTAAGGTCTAGGTTGTATTCCTTTTCTACCATATCTTTCTATTCTATGTTCTTCTCCATTCGTTTTGCTTATTTTTCTCACACAAGCCCAACCTTCTTGACAATGTTAGCAATGTTTACTCTAGAAGTTGTATCTTTTTATATAGCTTTCCTTTCTCTAACAGCTTTGTTTTTTTCCATGTCATTTCTGAAGTCCTAATTATCTTATATTTCTTTGCCTTTTTAAAATTTTCATTTGAACTTATTCTAAAGCTGCTATGTTTCATAAATTAGTGTTAGTATGAGGAGAAACATTTGTGGCAGATTTCAATTTTCATGGCATTTTTTAACTGATGAGTGTTCTCATAACTTTTAATATTGTTTTCTTCCAAGTTTTCTTTCTGTAGTAGCTATAAATAAATCTCATAATTTCCTATCTTTTCAAATGGCAGTGGATCTATCTGAGTCAGTAATTTACAGAAGCAATCTCTGGGGCTGGGAGAATGTTAATACAGAACTGTGGAAGATTTAATTCAGGTGAGCTGCCTCCAAATATTTACTTATCAAATATCTTCTACTCTCTGCTCTGTGCATACATCTCTGTTCATTGGACATGTTTACTCCCATATGGCTGTTTGTCCAGGAGGTCTGTACATTTCTCTTCAACTAACTCTCATCAGCTGCAGTCAAGATGATTATACATGGAATAACTTCTTCCTCTACTTGTCCTCAAATTTGATTCCAGCAATGGCAGGGCTGTGTTAGGCGTCCACTTCAGATTCTCATTGTGAAATACCTGCTAACTGTGAGCTGCTCAGGATTTTCCATTCTAGATCTTTGAGCATAAACTGCATGACTGTATTTCTCAAAATTTACACAAATATATGATACTTCAAACGTATGTCCACACAGCGTAGCACTTGTTCTATCTCCAGGTCTTGGCCTGGTTTTCTATATGTTTGGGAAACCTGAAGAGGGCAGAATTAACTAATATAATTCCTCAGTGGGTAAAATAAAGAAGTCAGCAATCCTCAACTTTGTTTTGGAAGTTCTTTATCATTTTAAATACATTACTAGAATAATTCTCTAGATTCCAGCAATACAATGGTAGTTTTCCTATTCTTCTAGTTCAAGTTTTTGTATCTGTGGGAACAATAAAACATTCTATATGGACACATTTTGTCAGTATCAGAATTTTCAAGACATCTATTTCTATGGCATTTTTAGTCAAATAGCTCTCCTAATTAACAGTTACACTAGTTTCATGGCAGATAATTAGGGAATATATGCTAAATAAATTTATTTGTAATACAGTATGGTTTTTATGCCTACACTTACATCACCACTATCTCAGCTCACCATCCTGGAGAAAATTAAGAATGTGAAACTGTAGAAGATATACAAATTATTTCAAATATGGAGAATTAAAAAAATTTTGTAACATATGTTAAGAATTAATATTTATTTCTCATAGTTCTTGAGACAAAAAAAACCCATGATGTAAGTGATGGCAAATTTGATGTATGAACCCTCTTTCTGGTTCATAGATGATTGTCTTATTGCTGTGTCTACACATGATGGGGAGGGCAGAGGGGCAGAGGGAGTCTGTGGGGACTGTTCAGTAAGGAGAGTCATCCCATCATGAGGGCAAAGCCCTAATGATCAAATCACCTCCCAAATTCCCACTTTCCAATATCATCACCTTGGGGGCTAGGATTTCAGTATATGAGTTTAGGGGGCATAAACACATTCATTCCATAGCACTAGAAAAATAACTGTTAAATAAATTATAGTTTAAGTGAAATGAGCTACGGAATTACCATGAGGCTTTAAGTTGGAAATCCTTTGAAAGTGAATGTGTCAGTCTTAAGGTGACATATGAGTGAGGAAGAAAGCTAAGCAGACATCTGAGGGATATCATATACATATATATGATATACATATATATGATATACATATATATGATATACATATATATGATATACATATATATGATATACATATATATGATATACATATATATACACATATACACACACACACACACTACATACACATGTATGTCATTTATATCTGTGTGTGTGTGTGTGTGTGTGTATCAAGCATACCTTGGAGATACTGCAGATTTGGTTCCAGATCACCACAATAAAGTGAATATCTCAATAAAGTAACTCAAATAATTTTTTTTGTTTTCTAGTGAATATAAAAGTTTATGTTTACACTGCACTATGCTTCATTAGCTGTGCAATAGCATTATGTCTGAAGTAACAATGTGTATACCTTAATTTAAAAAATATGTTATTGCTGAAAAATGCTAACAATCATCTAGGCCTTCGGCAAGTCTTAATCTTTTTGCTGTTGGAAGGTTTTGCTTTGATACTGATGGCTGCTAACTGATCAGAGTGCTTGTTGCCAAGACTGGAGTGGCTTTAGCAACTTACTACAATAATTCAACAATGAAGTTTGCCACATTATGTATTCCTCCTTTCCTGAATAGCATGTAATGCTGTTTGATAACATTTTCCCAAAGAAGAACTTCTTTCAAAATAGGAATCAATCCTCTCAAACCCTGCCACTCCATTATTAACTAAGTTTATGTAATATTCTAAATCATTTGTTGTCATTTTAACAATGTTCACAGTATTTTCACCAGGAGTAGATCCCATCTCAAGAAATCATTATTTGCTCATTCATAAGAAATAACTCTATATCCACTCAAGTTTTATCATGAGATTTCAGTAATTCAGTCATATCTTCAGGCTCTACCTCTGATTCTTGTTTTCTTGCTATTTCTACCACATCTATAGTAACTTCCCTTATTAAAACCTTGAACATCTCAAATTTGTCCATAACGGTTGGAATGAACTTCCTCCAAACTCCTGTTAATACTGTTATTTTGATCTCCTCCCATGAATCTTCAGTGTTCTTAATGGCATCTAGAATGTTGAATCCTTTTCAGGTTTTCAACTTATTTTGTCAAGATCTATCATTTGAATCACTATATATGGCAGCTACAGCCTTACAAGATACGGTTCTTAAATAATAAAATTTTAAAGTTGACATTACTCTTTGATACATGGCCTACAGGAGGGTTGCTGTGTTGTCAGGGACAAAAACAAATTTAATTTCCTTGTACATCTCCATCAGAGCTTTTGGGGGCCAATATGCATTATCAATGAGCAGAAATATATTTTTTTAAAATCTCTTTTTTTCTGAGCAGTGCATTTCAACAGTGGGCTTAAAATATTCAGTTAACCATGCTGTAAACAGATGTGTTGTCATACAGGCTTTGTTTCATTTATACAGCACAGGCAGGGTCGATTTATCATAATTCCTAAGGGCTCTAATAAGTTCATATTTGTAAATAAGCATTGGCTTCAACTTAAAGCTGCATCAGACCCTAATAAGAGAGTCAGGCTTTTCTTTTAGTCTTTGAAGCCAGGTAAGTATTGGCTTCTCCTCTCTAGTTATGAAAGTCCTGGATGGCATCCTCTTTCAATATAAGACTGTTTTGTCTACACTGAAAATCTCTTGTTTGGTGTAGCCCTTTCTACAATTATCTTAGCTAGATCTTCTGAATAACTTGCTGAGCTTCTATATCAGCACTTGATGCTTTGCCTTATACTTACATGTTATGGGGATGACTTCTTTTCTTTAACCTCTTAAAGTTTGAAGCTAGCAGAGTGAATCAATCTCTGCTATTTTCAAACTTTTCTTCTGCAGCTTCCCTACTTCCGTTAGCCCTTGCATAATTGAAGAGAGTAAGGACCTTGCTTTGAATTAAGCTTGGTTTAAAGGAATATTATGGCTGTTTTGAACTTCTATCCAGACCACTAAAACTTTCTCTATACCAGCAATAAGGCTGTTCTCCTTTCTTATTTGTGTGTTCATTAGAGTAGCACTTTTAATTTCCTTTAAGAATTTTTCCTATGAGTTCATACCTTGGCTAATTGGCACAAGAGGTCTAGCTTTTGGCCTATCTTGACTTCTGGCATGCCTTTCTTGCTGAACTTATTTGTAGCTTTTGATTTAAAGTGAGAGACGTGCAACTTTTCTTTCACTTTAAGACATAGGGGGCACTGAAGTGTTATTAATTGGCCTAATTTCAACATTATTATGTCTTAGGGAATAGTGAGGCCTGAAGAGAGGAAACAAGATAGGGGAATGGCTAGTCAATGAAGCAGTCAGAACACACACATCATCTATTGAATAACTTTGCCATGTTATGTGGGCATGGCTCATGGCACTCCAAAACAATTACAATAGTAGCATGAAAGGTCACCGATCACATATTAGCATAACAAATATAATAATAATGAAAAAGTGTGAAATATTGTGAATTACCAAAACATGAGACGTAGACACTAAGTAAGCCCATGCTGTTAAAAAAATGTCTCTGATATGCTTGTTCTACACAGGGTTGCCACCAACTTTCTATTTTTTTAAAAAAACGGAGTATCTGCAAAACGAAATAAACTGAAGCACAACAAAATGAGGTATACATGTTTATGTGTGAGTCTGTATACATATGTGTATATGTGTGTGTGTTGTATGTATATATGGTATTTTTTTTCAGGGAGTAGCAGGGGAAACATCTGCATAGGAAACTTGCTTGCAGACATCAAATGAGGACTCATGGACTCATTTAGAACATGGTGCTCAGCTTTTCTGCAAATTTTACAGTCACTCCTTAGGAAATTATGTACAGTTATTTCACATAATATGTGCATGTCAACAAATTATAACTGATGAGTGTAAAAACAAACATGTACATGATTTGTTTTTGCTGTTTTTTGGAATAAGTCACAATTATAATAGTGGACGCAATATTGAAAGTGGAAAATATAGGTAAAAATATCTCTGTTTGCCACCTGTGAAAATGGTTCTTTTAGCAAAAGGAAACTCATATAATTTCATGATTTTCACAGGAAGCAAAACAAAGCAAACTTCAGAAAATTTTACATCTAAAAATACATACCATAAACTAGGACCTTTTCTAAACCACAGGCATAAATACTAATGAAAAGAGGATTGTTCAGAGGTGACTTTTGTTTCCATTCACCCTCAATGGGCAGGTGTTAGAATTGCTATTAAAAAGTCATTATAGAGATAAGTAGCTTTAGATCCTGTGCCATTACTTTCATCATTCATAAGTGTTGTTTGCACTTGCTTTAGTACACATTTGCTTTGTTGATTTATTTTGCTATTTTCTCCAATGTGAGTTAATAAAACTGCTACAAATGATTCCCCTCAGTCATTTCAACATTATTTTGTATCAGAATTTGAAATATAAAACAAGGGCACTGCTGTACTAGAGTGCAAAGCACCGGGGAAAACTGATAGCCATCTTTGTAAATGGGTGGCAGAAATGGCAAAAATCTGTGTTTCTTGGTTTTTAGGAGCACCTTAGTTTCTGCATTTGTTATATGAATCAAAAATAAGAATTCTTTAAAAATTGCAGCTATACATGGGAAAGAATCCAAGAATCTTTCCAATATGTGGGAAACTTGTTAATTATGCAAGATGTGTATATGTGTGATGGGGTAGAAGTGTTGTTCTTGCCTAGTATCTTCAGTGTCTCTGGAGTTGGCTAAGCTAGTGTTATACAAATAACAGAAAATATAGATTTTAGGGTAAATAAATTAGGGATAAATATGGGGTTCAAGAAGTGTAAAATATTTAACTTATGAGGAAGATAAATTACTTCAAACTAATTTGCTACTAACAACATTACTTCATGTTATATAAGATGAAATAAATAGAATTATAAAGAAAATAAATTCCAAATTATCTATTTTTCCTTACCTCACTGCCATGCTACCTTTTTGATCAACATTTAGCATATACATTATTATTATTATTATTATTTTGATTCGGAGTTTCACTCTTGTTGCCCAAGCTGGAGTGCAGTGGTGCGATCTTGGCTCACTGCAACCTCTGCCTCCCGGGTTCAAGCAATTCTCCTGCCTTAGCCTCCCGAGTAGCTGGAATTACAGGCATGCACCACCACACCTGACAAATTGTTTGTATTTCTGGTAGAAACGGGGTTTCACCATGTTAGCCAGGCTGGTCTCAAACTCCTGACCTCAGGTGATCTGCCCGCCTCGGCCTCCCAAAGTGCTGGAATTACAGGCGTGATTGCGCCAGGACGGCATATACATTAATTTAACCTGTATCCCTCTGTCACAGTTTTCAACTAATGGTTCTTCTCTTTATTTCTACCAAACCCTTCTAGTGACTATGGTAATCTTTTTATTCTTTCTACATATTACAATTATCTAGGAAGTATGAGAAAATAGAAATTCCTTACTCCAAATCATCACATAGGAATATGTTCATCTTTCTATCATATGTGCTTTTGTGATTCCCTTGCACGTGTGCTGTCTATACTTCCTAATACATGAAAGAGAAGGAAATAATGTAATATAGTCCAATATAACGTGATTTCAAAGACTAGTGGGTTAAAAAAACTTTATTTATTGAATAGTTGCTGTGATGCATGAAGTACATTAGACCTCTAGATATTAATTTAAATTGCTCTTGAAAATAATAAAAATACATTACTATTTGTTCACTTAATAGATAATAAAATTTCCCTGTATTACAAAGTATTCAGTGACAGAGCCAAAATTCTAAATCTAATATTTTATGTCTCTTATGGCCTCAGGGATAAACAACTATGCCAATTAAACATCTTAGAAAGTCCAGCTATAGATAGATAGATAGACAGATAGATAGATAGATAGATAGATAGATAGATAGATAGATAGATAGACACACATACACACATACATAGGATATTGTATTAAATATATATGTATATATGATAGGCAATATATATGAGACTCTCTCTCTCTTTTAAATATTAATTTATGACATAGTAGAATTATAAACCAGCATGGAAGGAATGTACTGTTCTATAAAGTATATGAAGGGTAGGAGGTTGGATGTTGATGTTAACTCACACTAGAGAAAATTCTAGGTGGGTAAAATTACTCAAACTTTATAATAACATTCCAAGATAAATTTTATTACCACCCCAAACAAAACCACAAATACAGTATGAGTGATATGAATAAACAAGCAACAGGCAGTATATACGCTTACAACATGCAAAACTGACAAATACTAGAATCTTGAATATATAATTGTCTAGCATATATACTGTCAAATACATAAACATATGACAAAAATTAATGAGTAGGAAATGTGTAGGGAATCTGCCCCGCAAAATACAAAGGACCATGATTTATAAAAGAAATTGAGATACTATGTCACATGCATTAAAATGAAAGTATTTTTAAAAATCTAACAACTCCATTTTGGCTATGCTTTGGAGAAGTAGGAGCACCTATACACGTTTTGTGGGAGCACACATTTAAGTGCTATTTAGTAATATTCAGCTAGGTTGTAGATGAGTATTTTCTGTTACTTAGTAAAAATATTAACAGCAATTTAAAGATGCATCAAAATAAGAAGGGGAAAAAATTACTACAGGGCCATTACAATCACATTTCTTTAAAACGAATATCACATAGCCACATATATCCACGTGGAATCAAAATAATTGTTTTTTTTTTTTTTTTGCCAAAATGTTGCTTGTTTGAAAAGATTGAGAATTAGAATAGTATGTAGTGAATGATGTCATTTGTTTAATGTGTTAGAGTATTCAAACCTATGGTCTGTGTTAACTATGATCTATATATCTATCTATCATAAACTTATATACTCAAATATAGATGAGCTATATACTCATATGTAGATTTTTAAATAAGTGCTTTATAGGATACTTTAATGTTTACATAAAATTGTGAGATTGAACAGAATTTTCATATATCCCACACTTAATTTCACGTATTATTTAGTATCTTACAGTATTATGGTATATTGTTCATAATTACTGAAAATATATTAACACTTTGTAATTAATGCAAATCCATACTTAATTGAGATTGTTTTCATTTTTATATAATGTTCTTTTTCTGTTCCATAGTCACATCCAAAATATCACATTACATGTACACATCATGTTTCCTTAGAATCTTCTTGGCTGTAACAGTGTCTCAGACTTTCCTTGTTTTTAATGAACTTGGAAGTTTTAAGGCATGTGGAACAGGTATTTTTAATGCTCCACTTGGTATTCGTTTGATGTTTTTAATCATTATTAGACTGCAAAGATCAATTTTGGTGAGGTGAATTGTCATTCTCATTATATCAAATCAGAGGTACATAAAATCAACATGAGTTACCATGGCTGATGTCAACTTTGAGCACCTAAGGTAGCATTGCTCAGGTTTCTCCATAATAAAGTTCTGTATATCCCAACCATTTAAATTGCACTCTTTGGAAGGAAGTCACTATGTAGAGCCCTGACCTAAAGAGAGAAGAGTTTTATTCGATCTCCATAAATTATTTGAAATTATTTGGTAATGGTGACTTGCGTCTTCCTCTCCCTTTATTTATGTAGCCAATTATATATTTGTATCAATACTGAATTATGCATATTCATTTATACTTTGAATTACACTCCAACACTCTTTATTTTATTGCTTAAATTGTTCCAGCTTTTCATTTTTTGTAATGACAAGGGCTTGCTATGTTGACCAAGCTGGTTGGTTTCAAACTCCTGGATGTAAGTGATCCTCCCACATTGGCCTCCCAAAGTTTTGGGATTACAGGCATAAGCCACCACACTCGGTCTCTTGTAGCTTTTCCTCTTGGAAGTTCTTTCAGTTTGTTGGTGTCTCTTTGATATGTCCTATCATTATGTTACTTCTTTCCCCCTCCCTTTTACTGAGGTCTTCCTACTTTTCTGGCACTACAAGATACCAGACTCATTTTTAAATTTCTCTAGTCCCAGAAGAATTAGCCGTTTCTTCAAGGAGCCTGGTTCCTTTTATTGGAGATGATGTTAGAAAATCTGGGACCTAGGAATGCTTGTTACTACTAATGTTTTGTTGCTTTTAGTCCCTCTGTACTCTCAGCACATGGATAATATGTGTGTGCATAATAATGTGTATCTATACACATAACTATAAATGTTTCAACATTTAACTGTTACTATATTTAGATACTCATGAGTACATACTGATGATTCCATATAAGAAGAAGTTTAAGGGCATTAACTGTCCTTATTTTCAGGGTTGTTTAAAAACAAGTTTAGCTACAATATATTGAAACATACCTATCACAATGCCTGGAATAAAGAGCACATTAAGTACTAGCTAATGGTTATTGAGTATTGAGTATTTAGTATGTGCCAGAAATTACTCTATACACTTATCATCCATTAACTTGATTCTTACAACAATCCAATGAAATATATTGTCATTATTAATATTTATTAATATTATCATTATTCTCTTTGTGTAAGTATACTGAGGAAAAAAGAGATGAAGCAGCCACCTAAAATAACATAGCTAGGAAAGGTTAGAGGCATTCTAATTTAAATTTAATGGTTTATTTTGCTTTGCATTTCTGCCCATAAACTACAAAAATGTCAGGCTATTAGTGGTATTTTTCAAGATGTTAAAATATAATATTAGCCTTTTTCCTCCCTTTTGATCCATATTTTCTTTGTGGCAAATAATTTTGGTACATTTATTAACTAATCTGGCTTAAAGAATCCTAAGATGCCTTTTGGTCTTATGACAAACAATCATGGCCAAGCAGCAGACAAAAATGTGAAATTCCAAACCCTTGTTGGTCTAAGATTGTCTTTCTTGCATATCAAAGCAATGTACAAGTCTAGTTTCTCACATGCAGTTGTCATTAAATTAGGACTGGCAGAGTTCACAAATAAAAATACAGGTAAGATAGTTAAATTTGAATCAGATAATCAATGGATTTTTAAATATGAATATGTCTCCAATATTGCAATTATTAAAAGTTTATCTAAAAATCAAATTTAAATGAATGTCCTATATCTTACAGACCTAGATCACGTAGCTTTCATTCTATAACAATTAGCACTAAACTCTTCTTCTTGCAGCTTCCAACTGGTTCTTAACCTCTGAAATTAATTTTTATATTTCTAAATTGCTTAATTGAATAGTTATGCTATGGTCCTGTTCCATATCTAGATACCTCCCAAGTATTCTGGTTGCTTTTGAACTGCAGCCTTGCTAATTTTTCTTACTATTCTTTCAAGTAATCAAAATTCAATTTTTGGACTCACTGGGTTAGCCTGATGTCAAATATATACTGATAGAATTTTTTGAAGTGGACTGACCTTCTGCTAGCCTGCCTTGCATGATACTGCTCACTCCTGGATTCTGTGTCACCATGTTTCAACACCACCATGTTCTGGTCAATGGACAGTAGTAGATGCATGTAGATGTTGCTATGCATTCAGAAACTGCTCCATAAAATAGATATACTTTCTTCCTTCCCCTATATCTTGCATTACAGAGTTTTCCCAATTCTGTGTCCAGTTTTATTTTTCTTTTACTTTTAAATACTTTTGATACATTATCATTTTTTGAGGTCCAACCAAATGGGCACACACTGCACTAAATGACCTCTAGCTCAGTGCTCTTTCCACCATATTTGGATGCCTTCATAGCCAACACTGAAACACTAAAAAACATTACAAAGAATTCAACTGGCTGGAGATCAAAATGCTCAGGCAATATTTTAGTAGTACCTATGAGAAGGAAAGACTTCTGTGATATGAGGAGGAGAGAGTCAAAGCAGCATGAAATAAATAAAAGTAGATGGCTGAAGACAAAAATTGATTATTGTATTTCATAGTATTCTGTGGAGTCAACTCTGTTTTGACCTCACATGTTTCTCCAAGCCCTTCCAAACTGTATTATTTGGTACACATTGCTCGACTAAATGTTTTTCACATGGCTCCATAAACTTCTCATGGCTGCCCATTGACTACATGGACTCAGAGGTCAGAGGGAGAACCTGAAAAAAAAAAAAACACAACATTTTTTCAATTTTGCAAAGGTGCTTATCATCAGAAATATTTCTGATCACAATGAAAAATTGCTTTTTAGAAATACAAGTTCTTTTTATTTCTGTAAATCTTATTTACTGTTTTCTCATTGAAGACAAGAGGTGTGGTTTTACTGGTGATTAGGAAATTTTAGGACTGGGCTAATAAATATCATATATGAATATTGCCCTAAGATATAATGCAAGCTATTATTGCAAACTTATATGAACAAATAATTAAGTGGTAATATTTAATTCACAGATGACACTTACCTAAAGATTTTCCAAGGAAAATTGCCTTGAATTAGGCCATGAGAAAAAGTTATATTATTTTTGAATTGACAAATAAAATGGTACTTTTCTTTCAAAGAGAGTATGCATCACATGTTTTTGTTTGTTTCGCACACTATGAAACTGACTAATTGTGGTAACTCTCTTATGCCAAACTCTGTTTTTTTTATCTCTTTTCTTAGCCTGAAACAGATTTCTGTCTTTGCCCTTATATTAATTGTCCTTTCTTTGTTTTCTGCATTTCATTAAATTTCCTTCAATTAATTTGTAAGTAGAACAAAATAATTAGAGAATAGAAATGTTTATCCTCTGATCGATCTCTGACTCCATGTAGGTAGCCATCAAAAAACTAAATTGTGGATTGACAAATTTTATCTCTTGCACCAGAAATTTGAAGTTTTATTTTTCCCTTTTATTTCCATTGCCATCCTCTGAACAATCACTTTAAGGGCTTGGAGACTTCATTATACTTAACTTTTACCTTTTATAAAAATAGCAAAAAATCTAATATTCACCTTTATATTTTAGAAGAAATCAGTGTATATTATGCATTAAATATACCTAATTCATTTTTCAGGTTGTTTAGCTCTAATTGTGAATAAGTCAAGCTTGACATCATGATAAAAATGCTTGACCTTAATAAACAAAGGGGAAGGAATAGGCATTGGTAATGGCATGAATCAGTACAGATAAGTGTATATGTGTGTGTGTGTGTGTATATATATATAAAAATTATAGAAGTAAATGTATATGTATGTGTGTGTGTGTGTATATATATATATATATATATATATATATATATATATATATAATCCAAAGTGATGTGTATTAAGTGTATGCAAGAAACAGATTGGGTATACATTAAGGATATATGTAAACATAGAGAAAGAAAAACAAAAGAAAAAAGTATCTATTTAGACCATATGGATAGATTGGTATAAAGGTGAGAGAGAACATATATATTGCAAAACCAGAACTGAAAGTTGTTCCCTTAGAGATTCTTCAAGGAAAGTGGCAAGTCTTGAGTCTTATTAATCATATATATAGTGGAAGAAGTGTTCAAATGTATTGGAAGAAGTATTAAATTACAGTGAATTATTTACTTAATTGATGACACACTTTAAAATCTACACTTGCAATTATAAAGTGTAATTTTAAAACCACCATATTTTACTTGATTTAATAAACATTTATTTAACCTCTATTATATAAAATTTATGGTGTATCTTCCAAAGTTTGCTGAGATACAATCATTGATGCCCTGGAGCTGGATCCCACCAGGTCACTGGAGCCAATTGGGCACAACTCTTTCCAACTCAGTTTTCAGGAATGCCAAATTGGTAGTTTGAAATATGCCATGGTAGCAGAATTTGTAGAAATAAGAGTAAACTCAGGTTTTCTTTCTTTATTTTTTATTTTTGACAGCCATTTAAAGATTTCTTACTATGCCATTGAGTGTAATAGTTATTCATTAATATCTATAATATTCTTTTGCCCCTTTAACTTTTATCTTAAGTTCTGGGGTACATGTGCAGGACGTGCAGTTTTGTTACATAGGTAAACCTGTCCCATGGCAGTTTACTGCACAGATATTCTAAGATGACATACATTCTTCAAAATTTTTAGGTAGAAAATTTCTATCTTATTCATTTTGCATAGAAGTACTTTTCTTCACAGTCGGGAATTTAATAATAAGATGATGTCGTATTAATAAACATTTACTACCTTTCCAAGATAACTATGTTAAATGATGATGCATTTTTCAAAATTTTTACTTGTGCCACAGAAAAAAATAAATTTCTATGAAAGCAAATGAAACAAAAATATTGATGATAACAATTAAAGACAAAGTCAGGTTGCACAATAACTCTAAGTTTAAATGTAGTTTTATGTTTCTGTCATTCTTATTTTTACTGATAAATCAGGTATAGTGATATTTGTATACAATTTAGTAGGGTACTGGAAAACTGTAAATTACTAGAAAAAAATGCAAACACTAAAAGTAAAGCTACTTGAAATTTGAAGCATTTATGTAAAAAAAAAACATTATAATAAATAACTTATCAGGAACAAGTCAACAAAAAGTTTCTTACTCTTCTGTCAGTTTATCTGCGTAATAGAAACATTAAACCTTTTGTAAACGAATTTGTGCATTTTGCAGTTATTGTTAGATAATTCTAGTATTACCCAGATCTCCAGCTGCTGTTGGAATCTCTGCTAATGGAATAGCCAAAATGTTCTTCTTTATTCTTTCTGATACAAGATACTGTCCCACCCTTTTGTTTGATTGCACATTATTCCTCCCCCCACTATTCCCAGGCTCCATGGCTAGAACATTGCAAAGAATTATTGATCTTGAGGCAAGTCTTAGCACTCACGTGGTTCCTCAAGTTATTGCCTGAAGATATATTTTACAAGATGAACATTAGATTATTTTAGATGCGGTTACCAACACAGCAAACAACAACAACAACAAAACCAACAATAAATCTTTCACTGTTTTGTTCTCCTAGAATCCAAAATATATGAACAGCCATAGATGCTTTCACAATTGATAAATTCATATTTCTTATTTACTACCAATGACATAAAGCATATATTTTCCTCCTTTCTCTGTCCCCATCAGGGAGCTTTCTTATATCTCAAATTTACCACTGTCCTTTAACAGGTTTTTACACATTCTGAATTTTTAATGAAGTTGTTTCAAATGTTTAAAAACAACACTGAGCTTTTTAATCCTAAACCATACTTATTTTGTTTAACAGCTTTTAATGTCAACATCTTTTAATGTCTAAATAAAATGTTCGTGTTATTTCTTTTAAATTTCTTCTTTAATATTTTTAAAGTAGTTTTTTTCAGAATAGGTATAATTTGTTACAAGATTTTGCCCATAACAAGCTATACAGAAACTTTTTTTAAGTATTGAAAATTAGTTGTGCAAAGAAACCAAAACAAAATGCCATCCTAAATAAATAAAAGTGTGTTACACTGTATCTATAAAGTACACTGGCTCACTTTTTGATGGCATTGTTTTTCTCTTGTAAATTTGTTAAAGTTCTTTGTAAATTCTGGATTAGCCCTTTGTCAAATGGATAGATTGTAAAATTTTTCTCCCATTCTGTAGGTTGCCTGTGCACTCTGATGGTAGTTTCTTTTGCTGAGCAGAAGCTGTTTAGTTTAATTAGATCCCATTTGTAAATTTTGGCTTTTGTTGCAACATCTTTTGGTGTTTTATTCATGAAGTCTTTGCCCATGCCTATGTCCTGAATGGTATTGCCTAGGTTCTCTTCCAGGGTTTTTATGCTTTTAGGTTTTATGTTTAAGTCTTTAATCCATCCTAAGTTAATTTTTGTATAAGGTGTAAGGAAGGGGTCCAGTTTCAGTTTTCTGCTTATGGCTAGCCAGATTTCCCAGCACCATTTATTAAATAGGGAATTATTTCCCCATTGCTTGTTTTTTATCAGGTTTGTCGAAGATCAGATGGTTGTACATACGTAGTATTATTTCTGAGGGCTCTGTTCTGTTCCATTGCTCTATATATCTGTTTTGGTATCAGCACCATGCTGATTTGGTTACTGTAGCCTTGCAGTATAGTGTGATGTCAGGTAGCATGATGCTTCCAGCTTTGTTCTTTTTGCTTAGGATTGTCTTGGCTATACGGCTCTTTTTGGTTCCAAATGAAACTTAAAAGTAGTTTTTTTCTAATTCTGTGAAGAACGTCAATGGTAGCTTGATGGGAATAGCATTGAATCTTTAAGTTACTTTTGGCAGTATGGCCATTTTCACGATAGTGATTCTTCCTATCCATGAGCATGGATTGTTTTTCCATTTGTTTGTGTCCTCTCTTGTTTCCTTGAGCAGTGGTTTATAGTTCTCCCAAAAGAGGTCCTTCACATCCCTTGTAAGTTGTATTCCTAGGTATTTTATGTTTTTGTAGCAATTGTGAATGGAAGTTTACTCTTGATTTGGCTCTCTGCTTGTTTGTTATTTGTGTATAGGAATACTTGTGATTTTTTTGCACATTGATTTTGTATTTTGAGACTTTGCTGAGGTTTTTATCAGTTTAAGGAGTTTTTGGGCTGAGACGTTGGGATTTTCTCAATATACACTCATGTCATCTGCAAACAGAGACAATTTGATTTCCTCTTTTCCTATTTTAATGCCCTTTATTTCTTTCTCTTGCCTGATTGCTCTGGCCAGAATTTCCAATACTATGTTGAATAGGAGTGGTGAGCGAGGACATCCTTGTCTTGTGCCAGTTTTCAAAGGGAACACTTCCAGTTTTTGCCCATTCAGTATGATATTGGCTATGGGTTTGTCATAAACAGTTCTTATTATTTTGAGATATGTTCCATCGATACCTAGTTTATTGAGAGATTTAGCCCAAGAGATGTTGAATTTTATTGAAGGCCTTTTCTGCATCTATTGAGGTAATCATGTGGTTTTTGTCATTGGTTCAGTTTATGTGATGGATTATGTTTATTGATTTACGTATGTTGAACCAGTCTTGCATCTCAGTGATGAAGCTGATTTGATCATGGTGAATAAGCTTTTTGATGTGCTGCTGGATTTGGTTTGCCAGTGTTTTATTGAAGATTTCCACATCGATGTTCATCGGCGATATTGGCCTGATATTTTCTTTTGTGTGTGTGTGTCTCTGCCAGGTTTTGGAATAAGGATGATGCTGGCCTCATAAAGTGAGTTAGGGAGGAGTGCCTCTTTTTCTGTTGTTTGAAATAGTTTCAGAAGGAATGGTACCAGCTCCTCTTTCTACCTCTGGTAGAATTAGGCTCTGAATCCATCTAATCCTGGGTTTTTTTTTTTGGTTAGTAGGCTATTAATTACTGCCTCAATTTCAGAATTTATCATTGGTTTAGTCAGGGATTTGACTTCTTCCTGGTTTAGTCTTAGGAGGGCATATGTGTCCAGAAATTTATTCATTTCTTCTGGATTCTCTAGTTTATTTGTGTAGAGGTGTTTACAGTATTCTGTGGTGGTAGCTTGTCTTTCTGTGGGATCAGGGGTGATATCCCCTTTATCATTTTCTATTGGGGTCTGTTTGATTCTTCTCTATTTTCTTCTTTATTAATCTGGCTAGTGGTCTATTTTGTTAGTTTTTTGTTTTGTTTTGTTTTGTTTTGTTTTTAAACAGATCCTGGATTCATTGATATTTTTGAAGGGTTTTTTGTGTCTCTGTGTCTTTCAGTTCTGCTCTGATCTTAGTTCTTTCTTGTCTTCTGCTAGCTTTTGAATTTGTTTGCTCTTGTTTCTCTAGTTCTTTCTATTATGATGTTAGGGTGTCTATTTTAGATCTTTCCCATTTTCTGATGTTGGTATTGAGTGCTATAAAAATCCCTCTAAACACTGCTTTAGCTGTGTCTCAAAGATTCTGGTACATTGTGTCTTTGTTCTCATTGATTTCAAAGAACTTGGTTATTTTTGCCTTAATTTTATTATTTACCCAGTAGTCATTCAGGAGCAGGTTGTTCAGTTTCCATGTAGTTGTGCAGTTTTAAGTGACTTTCTTAATCCTGAGTTCTAATTTGATTGCACTGTGGTGTGAGAGGCTGTCTGTTATGATTTCCATTCTTTTGCAGTTTTACTTCCAATTATGTGGTCAATTTTAGAATAAGTGCTATGTGCTGCTGAGAAGAATGTATATTCTGTTGATTTGGGGTGGACAGTTCTGTAGATATCTATTAGGTTTACTTGGTCCAGAGCTGAGTTCAAGTCCTGAATATCCTTGTCAATTTTCTCTCTCACTGATCTAATATTGACAGTGGAGTGTTAAAGTCTCCCAGCATTATTGTGTGGGAGTCTAATTCTTTTTGTAGGTCTCTAAGAACTTGTTTTATGAATCTGGGTGTTCCTGTACTGGGTGTGTATATATTTAGGATAGTTAGCTCTTTGTATTGCATTGATCCCTTTACCATTATGCAATGCCCCTCTTTGTCTTTTTTGATTTTTGTTGGTTTAAAGTCTGTTTTATCAGAGACAAGATTTGCAACCCCTGCTTCTTTTTGCTTTCCATTTGCTTGGTAAATATGCCTCCATCCTTTAATTTTGAACCTATGTGTGTCTTTGCACATGAGATGGGTCTCCTGAATACAGCACACCAGTGGGTCTTGACTCTTTACCCAATTTGCCAGTCTGTGTCTGTTAACTGGGGCGTTTAGTCCATTTACATTTAAGGTTAATATTGTTATGTGGGAATTTGTTCCTGTCATCATGATACTAGCTGGTTATTTTGCACATCAGTTAATGCAGTTTCTTCATAGGGTCATTGGTTTTTGTATTTTGGTGTGTTTTTGCAGTGGCTGAAACCAGTTTTTCCTTTGCAAATTTAGTGCTTCCTTGAGGACCTCTGGTATGGCAGGCCTGATGGTAACAAAAGCCCTCAGCATTTGCTTGTCTATAAAGGATTTTATTTCTCCTTCACTTATGAAACTTAGTTTGGCTGAATATAAAATTCTGGGTTAAAAATTCTTTTATTTAAGAATGTTGAATATTGGCCCCCACTCTCTTCTGGCTGTAGGATTTTTGCAGAGATCTGCTGTTAGTCTATTAGCTTCCCTTGACCTTTCTCTTGGTAACTTGACCTTTCTCTTTGGCTGCCACTGACATTTTTTCCTTCATTTCAAACTAGGAGAATCTTATGATTATGTGTCTCGGGGTTGCTCTTCTCAAGAAGTATCTTAGTGGTGTTCTCTGTATTTCCTGAATTTGAATGTTGGCCTGTCTTGCAGTGTGGGGCTCTCCTGGATAATATCCTGAAGTCTGTTTTTCAACTTGATTCCATTCTCCCCATCACTTTCAAGGACCCCAATCAACAGTAGATTTAGTCTTTTCACATAGTCCCATATTTCTTGAAGGCTTTGCTCATTCCTTTTCAATCTTTTTTCTCTAATCTTGTCTTTACACCTCATTTAAGTAAGTTGATCTTCAATCTCTGATATCCTTTCTTCCTGTTGATTAATTCAGCTGCTGATACGTGTGTATAATTTACAAAGTTCTCGTGCTGTGTTTTTCAGCTCCACCTGGTCATTTATGTTCTTCTCTAAACTGGTTATTATAGTTAGCATTTCCTGTAACCTTTTGTCAAGGTTCTTAGCTTCCTCGCATTGGGTTAGAACATGCTCCTTTAGCTCAGAGGAGTTTGTTATTACCCACCGTCTGAAGCCTACTTTTGTCAATTCGTCAAACTCATTCTCGTCCAGTTTTGTGCCAATGCTGGAGAGGAGTTTTGACCAGAAGAGGCATTCTGGTTTTTGGAATTTTCAGCATTTTTGCCTGGTTTTTCCATATCTTCATGGATTTATGTACCTTTGATCTTTGAGGCTGATGACTTTTGGTTGGGGTTTCTGTGTGGGAGTTTTTTGTTGATGTTGATGTTGATGTTATTGCTTTCTGTTTGCTAGTTTTTCTTCTAACAGGCCCCTTTTCTGCAGGTCTGCTGCAGTTCACTGGAGGTCCACCCCAGACCCTGTTTAGCCTGGGTATCACCAGCAGAGGCTGCAGAACAGCAAAGACAGCTGCCTGCTCCTTCCCCTGGAAGCTTCGTCCCAGAGGTGCACTGGCCTGATGCTAGCCATAGATCTCCTATGAGGTGTCTGTAAACCCCTGTTGGGAGGTCTCTTCTAGTCAGGAGGTACAGGATCAGGGACCTACTTGAGGAGGCAGTCTGTCCCTCAGCAGAGCTCAAGCACTAGGCTGGCAGAACTCTCCTTGTCTGGATCCTCTGCTCTCTTAAGAGCCAACAGGCAGGAATGTTTAAGTCCACTGAAGCTATTCCCACAGCCGCCTCTTCCCCCAGGTGCTCTGTCCCAGTGAGATGGGAGTTTTATCTATAAGCCCTTGACTAAGGCTGCTGCCTTTATTTCAGAGATGCTCTGCCCAATGAAGAGAAATGTAGAGAGGCAGTCTGGCCACAGCCACTTTCCCGCACTTTGTTGATTTCCACCCAGTCCCAACTTCCAGGCCTTTTTAGCATGGTCGGGGAAAACCACCTACTCAAGCCTCAGTAATGGCAGACACCCCTCCCAATCCCCACACCAAGCTTGATTGTCCCAGGTCGACTTGAGACTGGTATGCTGGCAGCAAGAATTTCAAGCCAGTGATTCTTAGCATGCAGGGCTCTGTGGGAGTGGGACCTGTTGAGAGAGAACACTTGGCTCCCTGGCTTCATCCACCTTTCCACGGGTGTGAATGGTTCTGTCTCATTGGGGTTCCAGGCGCCACTGGGGGTGGATTGGCAGGGGGGAGCAATAACAAAAAAACTCCTGCAGTTAACTGAGTGTCTGCCCGACAGCCATTCAGTTTTGTGCTTGAAACCCAGGGCCTTGGTGGTGTAGGCACATGAGGGAATCTCCTGGTCTGTGGATTGCAAAGACCATGGGAAAAGTGTAGGATCTGAGCTGGATAGCACAGTTTCTCACAGCTTCCCTTGGCTGGGAAAGGGAGTCTCTCCTGCTCCTTTTATTTCCCTGGTGAGGTGATGCCCCACCCTGCTTCTACTCACCCTCTGTGGGCTGTATCCACTGCCTAACAAGTCCCAATGAGATGAACAGGGTACCTCAGTAGGAAATGCAGAAATCACCCACTTTCTGTGTTGATCTCACCGGGAGCTGCAGACCAGAGCTGTTCTTATTCGGCCATCTTGCCAGCAGAATTTGAAAATTGATCTCATTCTTCTTTATGGCTGCATCATATTCCATGGTGTATATGTATTACGTTTTCTTTATCCAACCTATTATTGATGGGCATTTAGGTGGATTTCATGTCTTTGCTATTGTGAATAGTGCTGCAGTGAACATACGCATGTGTCTTTATGATAGAACAATTTATATTTCTTTGGGTCTATCTCAGAGATTTCTTATTATGCTGATTTAGTTTATATTTTTACTTCTGTAAGACTTTTAAAGTTATGATTAGAAATACTTTTCTTTCATTGTTTTAACCTTTTATTTCTTCAATTTTATTAGTATGATTTTCTTTGTTTCTCTTCTGTAGTATGTAATTATTTGGCTCACCTTTACTTCCCATTTTCTGGGTTATTTTTAAATTATTTTTGATTTCTGGCTTTCTAAAATGAGGTATTATTTTCTCTCTGTAAATAATATGTATAGAGATTTTATTCATGTAGATTTTTTTTCTATAGTTTTTGTATGCCCTGAGATGAGCTGGGAGAGTGTTTTCAGCAACTGAAAAGTTTTCATTGTAATTCCTTATTTTTAAATATCTTTGATGTTCCTTGGTTGGCATGATGGTTAATACTGAATGTCAACCTGATTGAATCGAAGGATGCAAAGTATTGATCCTGGGTGTTTCTGTGAGGGTGTTGCCAAAAACGATTAACATTTGAGTCAGTGGGCTGGGAAAGGCAGATCTACCCTTAATCTGTGTGAGCACCATCTAATCAGCTGCCAGTGTGGCTAGGATAAAAGCAGGCAGAAAACCATGAAAGGACTAGACTGGCCTATCCTCCCACTTACATCTTTCTCCTGGGCTGGATGCTTCCTGCCCTTGAATGTCGAACTCCAAGTTCTTCAGTTTTGGAACTCAGACTGGCTCTCCTTGCTCCTCAGCTTGCAGATGGCCTGTTGTAGGACCTTGTTATCATGTGGAGTTAATACTTAATAAACTCCCATATATATATATATATATATATATATATATATATATATATATATGTATATATATATATATATCCTATTAATTATGTCTCTCTAGAGAACCGTGACTAATACAGATTTTGATACCAGGAGTGGTTCTAGAGGAACAGAATATTAAGTTTGGGGTTCTTTTGTTGGTTTTGGGATTTCTGTACTTGGCTGATTAATATGATTAGACTGAAAAATACTAAGGACTCTACTTCTAATAGTATGGAGAACCCTGATAGTCCTTGGCATGAACTGTTTAGAGAGTTATGCAGAATAAATGCATTGACACTCCTGATTCACCACTCATGAGAGGCAAGGAGTTTAGTGACTCTACACATAGTACCTTTAACCATATGTGAAGAACCAAGGAACATAATGAAGCTGGTTGGTTGCTCCTACGTTCAGTGGACAAAGTGATGAAAGAAAATGATGAACTCTGGGATTCTAACTACTAGCTTCAGAAGTAGATACTAAGTCTCAAATCTGCTAAGATTGCCCTGAGTGAGAGTCTTATCTCCTGTAGAGAAACAGTTGAAATTGTGTAAAAACAAACCCAAGCTCTTATTATGCAAGTGGCTGACCTGCAATGAAAGGTGCATGCACAGTCTCACTAGGTGTCTCCTCTTAAAGTAAAGGCATTGATTGGAAAAAAAATGTGAGACTGCAACTTAGAATACAGACATATGGGAGGACCCTAATGAAGCTGGAGACACTGAGTTTGTAAACTATGGTGAAACTTTTTCTGTCAGAAGACACAGCTTCCCCATCCGCAGTAGCAGCAACATCCCCTCCTAGACCCATGCTGCCATCAGCCTTTCTATCTTTGTCTGAGGACATAAACCCTGTGCTGCCTGAGACAACAATGATGTCCTCCCCTGAGGCAATTGCCGCAAGATAATGTTGATTCTTTCTCCTCGGGAGACACCCCCAACACCTTTGTTTTCTTCTAGACCTATAACTAAACTAAAGCCCCAGCAGACCCCTAGAGGTGAGGTTGAGAGTGTGACCCATGGAGATGTGTCCTACACTTGGAAAGAACTGCTTGAGTTTTCTAATTTATATAAGCAGAAATCTGGAGAACAGGCATGGGAATGGATATTAAGAGTGTGGAATAATGGTGGAAGGAACATAGAGTTGGATCAGGCTGAATTTATTGATTTGGGCCCACTAAGTAGAGAATGCATTTAATGTTGCAGCTTAGGGAATTAAAAAAGGCTCTAATAGTTTATTTGATTGGTTAGCTGAAATATGGATTAAAAGATGGCCCACTGTGAGTGAGCTGGAAATGCCTGATCTTACTATGGTTTAATGTAGAGAAAGGGATCCAAAGCCTAAGGGAGATTGAGATGGTGGAGTGGATTAGTCACTTTGGACCTACTCATCTTAGCTGGGAGGATCCAGAAGATAAATCCTTAATTAATGCCTTGCAAAGTAGATTTGTGGGTGCAGCACCTACATGTTTGAAGAGCCCTGTAATTGCTCTTCTCTGTATGTCAGATCTAATAGTGGGAACCACAGTCACTCAACTACAAAATTTAAATACAATAAGAATAACTGGATCCTGAGGTGCCAGGGGCCAAGTGGCGGCACTCAACCATCAAAAGCAAGGTGGATATAGTTACTATAATGGACAGCAAAGGCAAAGCAGCAATCAGAATAGTCTGACTGATGTAGAGATCTGGCATTGACTAATTAATCACGGTGTTCCTAGAATTGAAATTGATAGGAAGCCTACTGCATTCATACTTAATTTATATAAGCAGAAAACTTCTAGGTCAAAAGGACAAAAAATTAATTTGAATTATAAAAACAGAATCACAACCCCTCAATCAATTTCCAGACTTGAGCTGGTTTATAGACCCAAAACCCCTTGAATGCAGGGGAGGCCAGGTCCCTTTGAGAAAGGATCCCACTACACTACCCACAATTTATGCTGTTAATCTTTCTCCATCCTTCCCCAGAGGTAACTGTGCATTGGGGAAATAAATGTGATAGACATTTTGTGGACTACTGGACACTGGATATGAGCTGACATTGATTCCAGGAGACCCAAAACATCACTGTGGTCCTCTAGTTAAAGTAGAGGCTTATGCAGGTGAGGTAATTAATGGAATTTTAGCTCAAGATTGACTTACAGTGGGTCCAGTGGGTCCCCAGGCTCATCCAGTTGTCATTTCCCCAGTGCCAGAATGCAAAATTGGCAGAGACATACTTAGCAGCTGGCAGATCCCCCACATTGCCTCCCTGACTGGTAGGGTGAAGGCTATTATGGTGGGAAAGTACAAACGGAAGGTATTAGAGCTTCCTCTACGTAGAAAAATAATAAATCAAAACCAATATCACATCACTGGAGGGATTGCAATGATTAGTGCCACAATCAAGGACTTGAAAAACGCAGGGGTGGTGATTCCCACCACATGCCTATTCAGTTCTCCCATTTGGCCTGTGCAGAAGAAAGATGGGTCTCTGAGAATGATAGTGGGTTATTGTAAGCTTAACCAAGTGGTGACTCCAATTGCAGCTGCTGTACCAGATGGAGTTTCATTGCTTGAGCAAATTAACACATCTCCCGGTACCTGGTATGCAGCCATTGACTTGGTAAATGCTGTTTTCTCCATTCCTGTCTACAAGGCCCACCAGAAGCAATTTGCCTTCAGCAATACACTTATACTGTCCTACCTCAGGGGTATATCAACTCTCTGGCTTTATGTCATAATCTTATTCGGAGAGACCTTGATCTCTGTTCACTTCTGCAAGGTAACACACTGGTCGATTAAATTGATGACATTTTGATGATTGAATCTAGTGAGCAAGAAATAGCATACACACTAGACTTACTGGTGAGATATTTCATGCCAGAGGATGGGAAATAATTCCAACTAAAATTCATGGAACTTCTACCTCAGTAAAATTTCTAGGGGCCCAGTGGTATGGGGCCTGTCAAGGTATTCCTTCTAAGGTAAAGGATAAATTGTTGCATTTGGCCCCTCCTTCTAAGGTAAAGGATACATTGCTGCATTTGGCCCTTCCTATAACCAAGAAAGAGACAAAACACCTAGTGGGCCTATCTGGATTTTGGAGGCAACACATTCTCCATTTGGGTGTGTTACTCCAGCCCATTTATCCAGTGACCTGAAAGGCTGTCAGTTTTGAGTGGTGTTCAGAACAGAAGGTTCTACAACAGCTCCAGACTGCTGGGCAGTCTGCTATGCCACTTGGGCCATAAGACCCAGCAGATCCAATGGTGCTTGAGGTACCAGTGGCAGATAAAGATGCTGTTTGGTGTTTTTGGCAGGCCCCCATAGGTTAATCACAGCAGAGGACTCTAGGATTTTGGAACAAGACCCTGCCATCTTCTGCAGATAACTACTCTCCTTTCGAGAGGTAGCACTTGGCCTGTTACTGGGCTTTGGTGGAAACTGAGCATTTGACTATGGGTCATGATGTCACCATGCTAGCTGAACTGCCTATCTAGCTGATGCATCTAACCATAAAGTGGGTCATGCACAGTAGCATTCTATAATCAACAGAAGTGGTATATATGCGATTGGGCTTGAACAGGCCCTGAAGGCACAAATAAGTTACATGAGGAAGTGGCTCAAATGCCCATTGTCTATTCCTGCCACCCTGCCTTCTCTTCCCCAGCCTGCACCGATGGCCTCATGGGGAGTTTCCTATGATCAGTTGACAGTGGAAGAGAAGACTAGAGCCTGGTTCACAGATGGTTCTGCATGATATGCAGGTACCACCAGAAAGTAGAGAGCTGCAGCACTCCAGCCCCTTTCTAGGACATCCCTGAAGGACAGCACGGAAGGGAAATCTTCCCAGTGGGCAGAACTTCAAGCAGTGCACCTGGTTGTGCACTTTGCATGGAAGGAGAAATGGCCAGATGTGCTATTAAATACTGATTCATGGGCTGTAGCCAATGGCTTGGTTGGATGGTCAGAGATTTGGAAGAAGCATGAGAAAAACTGGTGACAAAGAAATTTGGGGAAGAGCTATGTGGATGGACCTTTCTGCGTGGTCAAAAACTGTGAAGATATTTGTATCCCATGTGAGTGCTCATCAATGGGTGACCTCGGCAGAGGAGGATTTTAGTAATCAAGTGGATAGGATGACTTGTTCTGAGGATACTGCTCAGCCTTTTTCCAGCCACCCCTGTCATCACCCAGTGGTCCCATGAACAAAGTGCCCATGGTGGCAGGGATGGAGGTTATGTACGGGCTCAGCAACATGGACTTGTACTCACTAAGGTTGACCTGGCAACAGCCACTGCTGAGTGCCCAATTTATCAGCAGCAGACCACCACTGAGCCCTCAATATGGCACCATTCTTCTGGATGATCAGCCAGCTACCTGGTAGCAGATTGAGTATATTGGCCCTCTTCCATCATGGAAAGGGCAGAAGTTTGTCCTCATTGTAATATACCCTCATTTCAGATATGGGTTTGCCTATCCTGCATGCAATGCTTCTGCCAAGACTACAATTCATGGACTCATGGAATGCCTTATCCACCATCATGGTATTCCACACAGCATTGCCTCTGACCAAGGCACTTACTTTACGGCTAAAGAAGTGCAGCAGAGGGCTCATGCTGATGGAATTCACTGGTCTTACAATGTTCCCCATCATCTTGAAGCAGCTGGATTGGTAGAACAGTGGAATGGCCTTTCGAAGTCACAATTACAACGCCAACTAGGTGACAATACTTTGCAAGTCTGGGGCAAAGTTCTCCAGAAGGTTGTGTATGCTCTGAATCAGCATCCAATATATGGTACTGTTTCTCTCATAGCCAGGATTTACAGGTCAAGGAATCAAGGGGTGGAAGTGGAAGTGGCACCCCTCACCATCACCCCTAGTGATCCACTAGCAAAGTGTTTGCTTCCTGTTCCCATGACAGGAACACTGGGAGGGAGGAATGCTGCTACCAGGAGACACAACAATTCCATTAAACTTGAAGTTAAGATTACCACCTGGATATTTTGGGTTTCTCCTACTTTTAAGTCAGTAGGCTAAGAAGGGAGTTACAGTGTTGGCGGGGGTGATTGTCCTGGACTATCAAGATGAAATCAGTCTACTACTCCACAACAGAAGTAAGGAAGAATATGTATGGAATACAGGAGATGCATTAGAATCATCTCTTAATATTACCATGCCCTGTGATTAAGGTCAATGGGAAACTACAACAGCCCAATCCTGGCAGAACTACAAATGGCCTAGACCCTTCAGGAATGAAGGTTTGGGTCACTCCACATGTAAAAAACAAACAAACAAACAAACAAAAAAACACGACCTGCTAAGGTGCTTGCTGAAGGCAAAGGGAATACAGAATGGGTAGTAGAAAAAGGTAGTTGTCAATACCAGCTATGACCACTTGACCAGCTGCAGAAATGAGGACTGTAATTGTCATGTGTATTTCCTCCTTCTTTTGTTAAAAACATATTTGTGCATATATACACTTGTACTAAGAAAATATCTTCATTTTATTTCCTTTTTCCTTTATCATGTGACATAAGATTTACAGACTTCATGTCAGCATTTGAGTATTGTTAACTTTATGTAATAGTATTCAGTTTGGGGATTTGTGTGTTTCCGATTCTACAAAGGATAGTTGTATTATATTAGATGTAATTGTTACCTTATTATTGTCTTTATTTGAAGATTATACATAATCTCAGGAGATGTGTATTTGTTCAAGTTGACAAGGGGTGAACTTGTGATGGTTAACACTGAGTGTCAACTTGATTGGATTGAAAGATGCAAGGTATTGATCTTGGGTGTGTCTGTGAGGGTGTTGCTAAAGGAGATTAACATTTGAGTCAGTGGGCTGGAAAAGGCAGAACCACCCTTAATCTGGGTGGGCACCATCAATCAGCTACCAGTGTGACTAGAATATAAAGCAGACAGAAAAATGTGAAAATCAGCTACCAGTGTGACTAGAATATAAAGCAGACAGAAAAATGTGAAAAGACTAGATGGCCTAGCCTCCCAGCCTACATCTTTCTCCTGTGCTGGATGCTTCCTGTCCTCAAACATCGGACTCCAAGTTCTTCAGTTTTGAGATTCACACTGGCTCTCCTTGCTCTTCAGCTTGCAGAGGGCCTACTGTGGGACCTTGTAATCGTGTGAGTTAATACCTGATAACGTCATATATATATATACACACACACAAACACACACACACACATATATATATATATATATCTTACAGTAAAACATTTATTTAGATACATTTATTAAACATTTATTTAGAAACATTTATTAAAATACAGTAAAAAAGTATCTTACAGTAAAACATTTATTTCATTTTACTTTAATTTTGAGGAAGGACGTTGCTGTGTCTATCAACATTTCTAACATTATTTCCTTTCATCTTCAAGTCTTCAAATACAAATTCCCCTTCCAAATTGCCTCTCCCAACCCAGTGCAAAAATTGGCCCCCACTCATACCAGTTTTCTATAATTTCCAACTCATGAAAAAACTCTAATTTTCCTGGTGTACTTGCATCTGTGTTCTGAGACTGCTAGGATACTATTTTACTGGTGCTTCTGAAGTTTCTATTTGGACTTTGGAGTTTTTTCAGCTGGTTTCAATTATTCACGTCCCTTATCTATAAATCAATTTAAGTTTTATTATCTGCTGACTCCCAGTTATGCTGTATAATGCTTTTATTTAGTATCCTCATCTCTCTTTACATTTTCTTGTGGATGTCTGGAATGATTTGGAATTCAGTACCTAATGGGAACCAAGGAGTCCCAAAATATGACTTCATAGCAAGCTATCACATTTCTTCTCCTGTTTAAATAATATTGAGAATGAACTCGCTAACATACGCACTTTTGCACTTCAGTATTCTTTCCTTCAATTTTCAAAATCAGTATAATTGTATTTTAGATTACATAAGACACCAGTTTCTTATGGGGTTGCTCTCAGTTACCCAATCTTTACCCTCTCTTAAAGGTACTAATGAGTTATGCCCAAAATTTTTCAGTTATAGTTAATGAATACAATTTATTCATAGTTTGAATTAACATTACTTTGGATTAAAAAATGTATAGGGCAGAGAGAATGAAGTTTAAAGTGAGAATTCTGGGTTTAAGTTTTTGTTCTGCCAACCGATAGCTGTTTCCAATTGGATATGCTATTCAACCAATTTATACCTCAGTGTTCTCATCCATGTCGACCATGAAAATCGATAATTTAAAATCAGATGTGTGGATTAAGCATGATTCAAATAGAAGTGTTTTATGAAGCTTGTGCTGCATAAAAAGTAGGAGTTAAGAGCAATGAAGGAGATATTTTATTAAAATTGGCTTAAAAGGATATTTTTAAACAATTCATGATTTCAGCCATTTTCTAAGTTTATTATCTATAGCTGGGTTAAAAATAAGGAACACTTTTACACTGTTAGTGGGACTGTAAACTAGTTCAACCATTGTGGAAGTCAGTGTGGCGATTCCTCAGGGATCTAGAACTAGAAAGACCATTTGACCCAGCCATCCCATTACTGGGTATATACCCAAAGGACTATAAATCATGCTGCTGTAAAGACACATGAACACGTATGTTTATTGTGGCACTATTCACAATAGCAAAGACTTGGAACCAACCCAAATGTCCAACAATGATAGACTGGATTAAGAAAATGTGGCACATATACACAATGGAATACTATGCAGCCATAAAAAATGATGAGTTCATGTCCTCTGTAGGGACATGGATGAAATTGGAAATCATCATTCTCAGTAAACTATCACAAGAACAAAAAACCAAACACCGCATATTCTCACTCATAGGTGGGCATTGAACAATGAGAACACATGGACACAGGAAGGGGAACATCACACTCTGGGGACTGTTGTGGGGTGGGGGGAGGCGGGAGAGATAGCTTTAGGAGATATACCTAATGCTAAATGACGAGTTAATGGGTGCAGCACACCAGCATGGCACATGTATACATATGTAACTAACCTGCACGTTGTGCACATGTACCCTAAAACTTAAAGTATAATAATAATAAAATTTAAAAAAAGCTCACCTTATACCTAAATCATATCTACCAATGATACTACAGAAATAAACACTTTTAAGAGAAAAAAAATTAAATCAAGAAAAAACATATTTTTAAGCAAAATTCCCAAGTTGATTTCAGCATGTTAGACTATGCTAATTCACTACATATAAATTAATGTTGTAAACATAGCTTATATCTCTGAATTTAATCCTAGGAAAGTCTATAACCAAATTTGTAACTATCTCTGGAAAACCATGTATTTAACTTCAAAGGGTAAAAGTCTATTGTTGACATAGACACTATTGCTTTGTCTAAGATGCCTTTATTGTAAACCATAAACTAAAAACAATTCTGAACAATTAACCTTGGACCTCTTCCTAATAGTTTTGCTACCTACTTATCTGTAGTATTGGTATGGGTATGGTTGGAAGTCTTTAAAGTGAGATTTAAAGGCAGTAGTTTACAATTAAAATGTGTTCTTAATTAATATTAAACACTGAGGAGATCATTCTATGTATGATTTCCAGTTTTCTTCCTATTTGTCTCTACTTAATTTTTAAAATTTTCTATTTCTATGTTCTTTTAAAATTATTCTCTGGCTCCCTTTTTTCACCCTTCTTCACAAAACCTGATTGTGCCCAATAGAATTTGCTTTACAGAAAGGAAAAGAGTATTTCTATAGTTTTCCCAACACACAGAAAAGTACTGCTTGACTCCTAATCAACCACGCTATCCAGGATTCAAGTTATGAAGTTTGAGTCATTAACATTTGAGAATCTGATATCACAAAAATAGGCAGGTGATGTTCAAAAAATATATTTTCTCAGATAAAATATAAAGCAATGTTAAAATATGTGAATGTCAAGGAAGCATTCAGTACCAGTAGAGTTGCCATATCTCATATGCACAGGCTGAATATAGACAACATGAAAAATTCATGGTCACTTTATAATGAATTACTCATATTCCTGATATTAAAATAACTGTTGTAAAATTATTTTTAAAAAGAAGTCAGGAACCAAAATAATTATTAAATGTGTGTGCACGCACACACACACACACACACACACACACACACTAATACGTCTATTAATTACATAGTATTAGCTTCAAGTTTTTATACAGTAAATATTTTAAAATACTTTCATTCTAACAATAGATTTTGAGAAATATTTCACAGCTGGGTCATGAAAGAAGGCTAGTAATGACCAAGATAGAGCATCATTGTTTTAAGATAAAATAAAATCCTGATGAAATTAACAAATATAAGAGTTTTTATAATATGTAACAATAAGAATGTAATATTTTGTCCCAAAAGACTTGCTATAATATTTATTTATCTTAAAGCTGAGATTTTTTTTGCCTAAAATATTTTGCTCCTCAGAGATACAGTTTTAAACAGTTAAATAATTTACCACTTTTGGACTTTGTATAAAATATGACCTGGAGAAGAATCAGCAGCTGATGGACTGAGAGATGA
The DNA here is from genome assembly GCF_000001405.40 of Homo sapiens. Taxonomy (NCBI): domain Eukaryota; kingdom Metazoa; phylum Chordata; class Mammalia; order Primates; family Hominidae; genus Homo; species Homo sapiens. Next base: position 102,803,570 of record NC_000009.12, on the reverse strand, counting down.
TTCCTGTCCTTTGAAGTTGCACATAATCAACAGAACCCAGATTATCATTGTGAAAATCTCAATTCAGTTGGCATTGCTTCTACTAGCGAACACTGGGAAATATCTCTTGTTCTCTCTAGTTTAGAAAAGCCAATATGCATTTCCTGAGCAGTTAGTTTGTTGATATTTTGGGGTCACTGTGCATCACATGATATGACTTTTTCATTCAGCATAGGGTCCTTTTTCTGTTTTAATGTATCTTACTATATTATATTTTCTTTGGAAGGAATTCTAATACAATATTAGAGTAATACAATTGTACTGTAATCTCAAAATTCACAATTCATAATTTAGTTTTTATTTATCTTTGAGTCTTCATTCTAGGGTTATGAAACTTTATAAAGTGTGAAATGTTAAGTATTTTCTCATGCTTAAGCAATTTAATTAGACATTTAATCATCTTTCAGAATGTATTCAATTTCTAGACCCCATCTAGATAGTCTAAGCTCACTCCATCATATGGAATGATCTTAATATCTTGGGGGAAAAGAAACATACAGTGCAACCATTAGAGGACTCTGGAAGGTGAATCAAAGCAGTGGAACTGGATAAGATGTATAGGCCTAAAAGTATGACCCCAGAAGGAAATAAATAATTTTTTCCTTTTAAAACAAATTTTATTTTCCTTTAATACCTGTGTATCCTACACTTGGCACTGTAGTATCCTCAAAGAAGAAGGAAGAATTACAAATGGGCATAGACAGAAAAAACTGCCCCCTACCATTCTACCCTCAAAAAAAAAAAAAAAAGAAGTTTACTTTTATTAGCTAGAGTTGAGAAGAAGAAGTCCATGTCAGGTGAGATGACACTTTGGACTTCCCTTTCCAATCCAGTTAATGACCAGAAAATAAATGTTTTCTTTCTCTTTTTACCAGCATGGAAGTGATACCTTACCCCTTCCTCAACAGGGTGCTATTTTTGTGAGCAGGCCAAAAACTACAAGTGTGTAAAAGAGACAAAGCCCAAAAATTCAATTCCCACAGGCTCGGTGATGGTGAATCCTGCAGGACAAAATACCAGGGACAGATCAGAGAAGTTAAAGACACTGTATCCTGTATTCTAGCTAGTACAACAAGAAAGACAGAACCTCAGAATCAAAAAGTAGAGACAAGAAATTGTATTAAAAGGGATATTTTAAATTCTTTTTTTAATTATTATATTTAAGTTCTGGGATACATATGCAGAACGTGCAGGTTTGTTACATAGGTATACATAATCCACAGTGGTTTCCTGCACCCATCAATCTGTCATCTGCACTAGATATTTCTCCTAATGCTATCCCTCCCCTAACCCCTACCCACCAACAGACCCGGGTGTGTGATGCTCCCCTCCCTGTGTCCATATGATCCCATTGTTCAATTCCCACTTGTAAGTGAGAACATGTGGTGTTTGGTTTTCTGTTTCTGTGTTAGTTTGCTGAGAATGACGGTTTCCAGCTTCATCCATGTCCCTGCAAAGGACATGAACTGATCCTTTCTATGGCTGCATAGTATTCCATGGTGTATATGTGCCACATTTTCTTTATCCAGTAATCCTTTGGGTGTATACCCAGTAATGGGATCGCTGGGTCAAATGGTATTTCTAGTTCTAGATCCTTGAGGAATTGCCATGTTCTCTTCCACAATGGTTGAAATAATTTACACTCTCACCAACAGTGTAAAAGTTTTCCTATTTCTCTACATCCCTTCCAGCATCTGTTGTTTCTTTACTTTTTTTTTTTTTTGAGATGGAGTCTCGCTCTGTCTCCTAGGCTGGAGTGCAGTGGGGCAATCTCGGCTCACTGCAAGGTCTGCCTCCCGGGTTGATGCAATTCTCCTGCCTCAGCCTCCTGAGTAGCTGGTACTACAGGTGCCTGCCACCACTCCTGGCTAACATTTTTTTTGTATTTTTATAGTAGGGATGGGGTTTCACCATGTTAGCCAGTGTGGTCTTGATCTCCTGACCTCTTGATCCACCTGCCTTGGCCTCCCAAAGTGCTGGGATTACGGGCGTGAGCCACCGTGCCCGTCCTGTTTCTTTACTTTTTAATGATTGCCATTCTAACTGGTGTGAGGTGGTGTCTCATTGTGGTTTTGATTTGCATTTCTCTAATGACCAGTGATGAAGAGCTTTATTTCACATGTTTTTTGGCCACATAAATGTCTTCTTTTGAGAAGTGTCTGTTCATATCATTTGCCCAGTTTTTGATGTTTTTTTTTTTTTTTTTTGTAAATTTGTTTGAGTTCTTTTATGAAATCCTGGGATTCCTAATAAGCTGCACATATGAATAGAATAAGCGGCACAAAAATTTTGACCACTAGACTACATTATAGACAACCGTCTAGTTTCAGACTATCTGTTGCATGGAGCACAAGTTGGATGTGACAGAATAGCACAGCAAAGGGTCAAAAAAATTACATTGGAATCAGCCTATAGAAACTGGCCCAGCATGTGCAGTCCACACATCAATGGATTGCCTGTCTGCTGAAACAAAAAGTTAAAGTCTCTAAAATGCGTAAATGGTATTTAAATATTCATACATTTTATGCGGCATCTGCAAAAATATTCCAAACTTCTTCACCATACTAAGAACCAGGGATACTCTCTAGGAAATAGAAAATCAACAGAAAGATCCTCTAATTTTACAATTTCCTATCAGTTATTTGAAATTATAAAATATTATTTCAAAGTTGATTATGTAAAATTTGTTAAGTATATTATAGTTCCTCAAGCTACTGTGAATAGAATATACACATAAATATATAGCTAAAAATTCAATAGATAAGATAGAATTCTGAAAATATTTAAATAATAGAAAAGAAAGCAGAAAGGGAGAAATGGAAGACTGAAAAATAGGGCAAAAAATAAACTAATGTTAAAACGCAGATCTAAAGTAATGATAAAAATGATTAAATATCATTTTTATCATTACTTTAGATCTACATCATTCTCAGCAAACTATCGCAAGGACAAAAAACCAATCACCGCATGTTCTCACTCATAGGTTGGAATTGAACAATGAGAACACATGGACACAGGAAGGGGAACATCACACTCCGGGGACTGTTGTGGGGTGGGGGGAATGGGGGAGGGATAGCATTAGGAGATATACCTAATGCTAAATGATGAGTTAATGGGTGCAGCACACCAACATGGCACATGTATACATATATAACAAACCTGCACATTGTGCACATGTACCCTAAAACTTAAAGTATAATAATAATAAAATTAAAAAAAGATTAAATGTAAATGTTCAAAACATATCAGTTAAAGATCTATTACAGTATGTATTAAAGTGTTATAAAACTATATATTGTGTAAAATGAAGCTACTTGAAACATAATGATATAGACAGCATACAAACAAAAATAAAAATATACATCATGAAAGCATTAATTATCATAAAGCTTCAATGGCTATAGCATTGTCAGACAATGCAAACTAGAATAGTAAAAATAAAAAAGGTGAAAGATAATGTAAACATTTTGTTTGTAGCATATATATAAAGACACATTGTGTTTATGAATTAGAAGATATTATGTAGTTAATATGTCAATTCCCCCTAAGATGATCTATAAGTTTAAAATAATCCCATTCAAAATTCCAGAAGGAATCTTTGCAGATATAGACAAGTTTATTAAAAAACTTGGAGAGATAAACAAGAATAGCCAAAACAATTTTGAAAAAAAGACATAAAGGACTCACACGACACAATTTAAGACAGCTTAAAAAATAGTCAAGACATATTGTTATGTCTGGTAAAGATTTCATAACATAGTCATGAAAAGCAATTGCAAAAAACCTAAAAATTTACAAATAGGACCTAATTAAACTAAAGAGCTTCTGCACAGCAAAATAAACTATCAACAGAGTAAATAGACAACATACAGAATGGGAGAAAACTTTTGCAAATGATGCATCTGACAAAGGTTTAATATCCACCATCTCTAAGGAACTTAAATAAATATTGCAGATGCAAATTATCTCAAAAGAGAGTAAAAATATAGAACATCTTCCTAATTTTGTTAAAGCAAAAAGTTCTTACATATGATGCCAAAAGTGCAATTTAAAAATTAATTAAACATCAAAATGAAGAGTTTTTGTTCTGTGAAAGTCACAGTTAAAAGAATAAGAACACAAGCTACAGACAGGGAGAGCGTATTTATAAATTACATATCAAACAGCTTATATCCCGAGTATATAAAGAAATTGAATTGATAGAAAATCATGTCACCTGGAAAATAACAATGTAAGAGCTACATGTCTCTTATATTTTAACTGCTGTATTCTGTCCACTGGTTAGAAACGATTGGCTTTAGTTATTAACACTTTAAGGAAGAATATCTGTCAATGTTTAGATGTCCTATCATGAGATTGAGATTCAAAGGTTGATTTTATAAAGTTTACCCTGACCGAGTAATGCAAGATAGAGAAAGAAAGGAAGGACCATGGGCCTAAGAAAAGTTATTGTTCAATTGGCAGAGCATGTCTAGGTGGTAGGAGAGACTCATCAGCAACAGTAAGTGACCTACAAAGGTGGATGCAATCTCTCATCTGGATTCAGAAAAATGATTGGAATCATGGTCCAAAGACCACGCCCAGTATAGTATTATGGCTGGGTTAATAAGAATTCTTAAAAATAATCTTACAAAAAATTTATGGAGATTTAACCTAATGGAAGAGAGCATCAGGAAAAGAGCATAAGCTGAGTTAAAGGGTAGAACCCTTATATTTCTTCAGAGAACTTTGAATAATAATGATAAGCTGTATCTAGCTAAGGCATTTACTTAACCAGTCACTATGTTGGTCATTTATTGAAGCCATTTGAATAAATGGCCAAAGTGAAGAAAGAAGAAATCTTATTTAAGAACATTAATCGCAAGATCACCTGAATCAATTTAACTGTAAAGATGACACCCACCTATCAATTTGTGGAAGTGAATTGGAGGTGGTTGTGTTTCTTCAGGTATTATTCATTTCATATTCACATTGATTCTAAAAATGACAGGACTTGTGAATGGGGAGTGTAGTCGGCTATGGTTTAAGTTCGCTGCTAAAGAAAGAACAAGGGAAAATGAAGGAGGATTGACAAAATGTTTGACTCCTGAACGCCACCTGCCTTCCCTTGTTCTAATTATGCAATTATAGTTATTCCACACAAATTCTACTTTCTGAATGTCGTATTTTTTTCCATTTTTTAAAGTACATATTAAGTCATCAGGAATAGTAAATGATATGAAGAAATCTATTTAGCTGGAAGTAAAAATGCATAATCTTAGTGCTGAAAAAGTATATAGCACTATTACTTAATTGCATTTATAAATGTAACATTTTTGGATTATAAGAAAAACAAGAAAATGCAGCACATTTATTTTATCTGCTTAAGTTTTATTCTAGTACATGAATTTTTTTGATAAGTTACCTATATTTTTATTTTCCCCTAGAATAAAAATGATTTGTAGTCTACTATAGTTGTGATACTTTTGGTATTTCCTATCATTATGCATACACTGAATAAAATGCATGTTTCTAGAACTCAGATTTTGCATTACAATAGTCGTTAGCTAGCAAAACAATGTTTTACTTCTGCATCATTGTATGTGTTTGTCAATTTTACAACATCTACTCAGACATTTAGCAATTATTTTAATAAACACATATCAAATGTAAACTGTGCATCAAAATTTCACATACATATTATGGAGAAAAAATGGTATTTCTATTTAATATTTATGTTCAAAAGGGTACAGAAAATTATATAACTTATGATAATGTGGAAATAAAATTGAAAAATGATGTCTTTAGGTAAGAACTTGGATGTTTTGATGGCAAATGGCTCGTAAAATATAATATCCTTGAAATATATAGAATGAATATAGAAATGCATACTACTCATACATGTTATTTAAGGTTGAGAACTACTTGTTGTGACCTGAGTAATCATGTTCTTTATCTCCACTTCAGGAGTCTGCTGACAGGCTATTATCAAATAAACTGTAGTGCAAGAACTTGTTAGCTTTGAAGTAGGGTAAATTCTCAAACCCTTCAGAGTTCTTGATAGATTATTTGACTTTATTTTGTGTATGTGACCAGAGAGATGTGCAGTTATATTAGAGGCTTACTAACCACACCTGTAAATGTTACTTATTTTCCAGCAAACATCCCACCTTTGTGTGTGATGATGATGATAACAACTTATATTTATAATGCTTGCTATACTTTACAATACTTTACAAGTGTATCCCATTTATTAACACATTCAAACCTTAAAATAACCCTATAAATTAGGAATTATTTCTGTGTTACAGATTAAAACAAACTTATCAATCAAAGTTCACATCACTAGTCAAGTTGGATCAAGGATTTGAATCCAAGTAGTTGAGTCTTCAATGTATACAAACACCCATTTCTATGGTTAGTTTTCCTTCCCAGAGTGGGGCCCTGTGAAAAGGTCAAACTTTTCAGCATTTATATTTGTTTTTAGGTGATCATGATAAATTGAGCTGGAAAGTATCAATACACAAAAAGTGAAATTGGCAGGAAGTGATGCTATGTACTTCATATCTAACTTGTTAAATCTTAGAGGGCAGATATAACACTTTACTTTTTAATTAGTAAGCACTTAAATAGCAATAAGATTCTAACATATATTTATTGTGGGATCTGGCCAGCAGCCTGCAATGCAACGGGGCTCCTTCTTTGTTCCCAGTTGGATCGGCAGGTCAAGAAATAAAAGACACACACAAGATAGTGAAAGCTGGGTTCAGGGTGGTCACCGCCTTCTGGTCCTGTGATGCTGCCAATGCACTAGATATACTAGCATTTATCATTGTTTAGTGAGGGCAGGGGTAGGTTAGTGAGGCATTTAGGGTCGTTTCATTATGAAGTGAGATGGTCACATGGGAATGAAGTAATTCTTTAACATAACATCGGTATGCAGAAGTACAGTACACAGAGATAAGAATTTACAGTATAGTGTGTGTGTCAGCAATTTCTAACAGAGCCTTAAAACAGAAACACAGTCTATCCATAAACTATGTTTAGTAAGATACTAATCATTAGTAATAATTGCAGCAAAAGCTGGTGGCAAACAGTCAATAGAAGCAGGATGTGAAACTAGACAACCGGTTAGACCACAGATTCTCAGAAGGGAGTATGTCTTAACCCTAAAGAGACCTAGAAGAGCCGTTGCAAGATAAGGGCGTTTATAACCCTATCTTATCCACATGAACAGGTGCCCCTCATGCATCCATTTATAGGCTCTCCACAAGGGTCGCATTCCATTCACAGAGCTATGAATATCTGCTTTTCTGGGATAGGAATCTTGGTGATGTGAAACCTCCCTGACTGCACGTAACTAAGTATGAAAAGGAGGAGCAAAAAAGGAAAAAATGGAAGGAAGACAGGAAGAAAAGGAAAAAAAAAAAAAAACAGGAAAGAAGACAGGAAAGAAGGACAAAAGGAAGGGAAGAAAGGTCAGTGCTATTCATAGGTAGTGATTGTGAAAAAACTACAGAATAAATTCCAAGTGTAAAATATGATTGTTTTCCCTTACAAAGTATTTCATAGCTTTTCAAAAGAATTTGAAATAGAAGTTCATCTACTTTTACATAAATATGTGCATTAATATTTAGGAATTCAAATGAAACTAATAGAAACCCAGTTACTGAATGATGTGTATTTGTGAAAGGCACCCACTTTAGTTTTTAAAAATAGTTATTAAGGAACTAATTCACACTACTAATAATAGTGGTATACAGTGATGACAAAAAGTAGTGCAGTGGCAAGACTGCCCATAAACAATTTTGCTGAAGTAGTCATTTTCATTGTCATATGACTTAGTACTGCAATAATATATTTGGAAATGGAATTGCCAATCAATATCCATAAAATACATGTATAAATGTACCATGAATTAGAACTTTAGTTTTGAACATTCTTTTTTTGAGTGGCATAGGTGGTATAGAAGGTTAAAACTTTATTTTAGGGCTCAAGATGTTTAGGAAATGTATTGAACCTTTACCATTTAGCAATAATGAATTTCCACATTAGGATGACCATAAAAAATGATGGCGATAGTGTATGATTATGCCATTTAAAAGAAAGCCCTAGGATAGGGAGAGTACATCTAAGCATAGCCTATTCCCCTGAATGTTCCCACATCACCTGACCATACTGTCTAACTTATACTTTTGCTCACACATTCTTTCTATCTGTCCTAAATCAAACAAATGATGGAGATTTTAGGGGAATCGTCTTCTTTCGTCAAACAGCTATTAAACAGAGATGGCATTTTCTTTTAAAAATATTAACAACTGGCATATAATTGAAGGCATAATAAATATTGAATTTCTTTAATAATGTTCTCTACTAGAAGTTGTAACATTGTTATTTGGGAATGCTTGATGTGAATACATTTTACAACTTTTAATATTATATCTCTGTGATCAAGCAATGCTAAAAAATAGGCTGTATGAACATCTGGCTCTTTTTTAAAAAAATTGAAATTGAAATTAAAAGATTCTATCATTAGGCAGGAAACAAGATTTTTTTTTTATCAGAAAACATGAAAACCAGAAGGTAATGGAGTAATTTGGAAGTACTGTGTGGAAAATTCTTCCAAGTCCTAATTTTGTAACAAATAGAAGTTTATTATACTTTGATACTTATATCAAACATAAGTATATTTGATATAAACATTTTGATATAAACATGTTTATAACAATATAAAGATTTTTTCAGACAGTCAAATAATTAGATTTAATTGTCTGAATATGTGCACTAAAAGGAATGGTTAAGAAAGCTACACAGAAATTGTCACCAGAGAGAAACTTGGATCTACACAAAGAAATAAATCATTCCAGGAATGACAAGAAGAAAATTAGAACCCAAAGCGAGAGGATGGCTTGAGATAAGGAGTTTGAGACCAGCCTGGGCAACATAGCGAAACCTTGTCTCTACTTGAAAAAAGAAAAAAGCTGGGCATGTTAGGTGCACCTGTAGTTCCAACTACTAGGGATGCTATGGCAAAAGAATGGCTTGAGCCCCAGAGATGGAGACTGCAGTGAGCTATGATTGTGCCCCACTGTACTCCATCAAAGGCATGTATTCTTATTTTAGCCACTCAAAAAATAATTGCATAAAGCAAAACAATAACAATTAATTATGTATATTATAACATAAGTTTAAAATAGACAATAAAGAATACAAAGAGTGGAACAGACTAGTTATACATTGCTGTAGTGTTCATAAAATATAGGCAAATATGTGATATTTGTAAATGCACTGTGATAAGTTGAAGCTATGTATTATGAAACTTAGGGCAACCACTAAAACTAGTAGACAAAGTGGTATAATTATAAGCTAATAAAGAAACTTACAGCAAGTAACACAAAATACATATTTAATTCAAAGAAAGGCAGAAAAAGTAAAAAGGAATAAGAACAGATGAAACAAATACAATTTAATAAGTTGATAATTTTATATCCAAACATATCAATTTTATTAAGTGTAGATGGTCTTGGCACCTTACAATCACATGAAATGTGAACAAAATTAATCAAATGGAAGATGGAGAGGCTATATTAATATCAGACAAAGCATGGTTCAGATCAGGAAGTATTACAAGAGATGAGGAGGGATATTGAATAATCATAAAAAATTATTCACCTGCATAAATGTCTTCTTTTGAGAAGTGTCTGTTCATGTCCTTCGCCCACTTTTTGATGGGGTTGTTTGTTTTTTTCTTGTAAATTTGTTTGAGTTCATTGTAGATTCTGGATATTAGCCCTTTGTCAGATGAGTAGGTTGTGAAAATTTTCTCCCATGTTGTAGGTTGCCTGTTCACTCTGATGGTAGTTTCTTTTGCTGTGCAGAAGCTCTTTAGTTTAATTAGATCCCATTTGTCAATTTTGGCTTTTGTTGCCATTGCTTTTGGTGTTTTGGACATGAAGTCCTTGCCCACGCCTATGTCCTGAATGGTAATGCCTAGGTTTTCTTCTAGGGTTTTTATGGTTTTAGGTCTAACGTTTAAATCTTTAATCCATCTTGAATTGATTTTTGTATAAGGTATAAGGAAGGAATCCAGTTTCAGCTTTCTACAGACGGCTAGCCAGTTTTCCCAGCACCATTTACTAAATAGGGAATCCTTTCCCCATTGCTTGTTTTTCTCAGGTTTGTCAAAGATCAGATAGTTGTAGATATGCGGCATTATTTCTGAGGGCTCTGTTCTGTTCCATTGATCTATATCTCTGTTTTGGTACCAGTACCATGCTGTTTTGGTTACTGTAGCCTTGTAGTATAGTTTGAAGTCAGGTAGTGTGATGCCTCCAGCTTTGTTCTTTTGGCTTAGGATTGACTTGGCGATGCGGGCTCTTTTTTGGTTCCATATGAACTTTACAGTAGTTTTATCCAATTCTGTGAAGAAAGTCATTGGTAGCTTGATGGGGATGGCATTGAATCTGTAAATTACCTTGGGCAGTATGGCCATTTTCACAATATTGATTCTTCCTACCCATGAGCATGGAATGTTCTTCCATTTGTTTGTGTCCTCTTTTATTTCCTTGAGCAGTGGTTTGTAGTTCTCCTTGAAGAGGTCCTTCACTAGAAATACCATTTGACCCAGCCATCCCATTACTGGGTATATACCCAAATGACTATAAATCATGCTGCTATAAAGACACATGCACACGTATGTTTATTGCGGCATTATTCACAATAGCAAAGACTTGGAACCAACCCAAATGTCCAACAATGATAGACTGGATTAAGAAAATGTGGCACATATACACCATGGAATACTATGCAGCCATAAAAAATGATGAGTTCATGTCCTTTGTAGGGACATGGATGAAATTGGAAACCATCATTCTCAGTAAACTATCGCAAGAACAAAAAACCAAACACCGCATATTCTCACTCATAGGTGGGAATTGAACAATGAGATCACATGGACACAGGAAGGGGAATATCACACTCTGGGGACTGTGGTGGGGTCGGGGGAGGGGGGAGGGATAGCATTGGGAGATATACCTAATGCTAGATGACACGTTAGTGGGTGCAGCGCACCAGCATGGCACATGTATACATATGTAACTAACCTGCACAATGTGCACATGTACCCTAAAACTTAAAGTATAATAATAATAATAAAAAAAGAAAAAAAAAAAAAGATTAAAAATAAAAAAAAATAAAAAAAAGCAGAAAAAAAAAAAATTATTCACCTTTGTTCTTTTGGCTTAGGATTGACTTGGCGATGCGGGCTCTTTTTTGGTTCCATATGAACTTTAAAGTAGTTTTTTCCAATTCTGTGAAGAAAGTCATTCGTAGCTTGATGGGGATGGCATTGAATCTGTAAATTACCTTGGGCAGTATGGCCATTTTCACGATATTGATTCTTCCTACCCATGAGCATGGAATGTTCTTCCATTTGTTTGTATCCTCTTTTATTTCCTTGAGCAGTGGTTTGTAGTTCTCCTTGAAGAGGTCCTTCACATCCCTTGTAAGTTGGATTCCTAGGTATTTTATTCTGTTTGAAGCAATTGTGAATGGGAGTTCACTCATGATTTGGCTCTCTGTTTGTCTGTTGTTGGTGTATAAGAATGCTTGTGATTTTTGTACATTGATTTTGTATCCTGAGACTTTGCTGAAGTTGCTTATCAGCTTAAGGAGATTTTGGGCTGAGACAATGGTGTTTTCTAGATATACAATCATGTCATCTCCTAAGCCAAAAGAATGAAGCTGGAGGCATCACACTACCTGACTTCAAACTATACTACAAGGCTACAGTAACCAAAACAGCATGGTACTGGTACCAAAACAGAGATATAGATCAATGGAACAGAACAGAGCCCTCAGAAATAACGCCGCATATCTACAACTATCTGATCTTTGACAAACCTGAGAAAAACAAGCAATGGGGAAAGGATTCCCTATTTAATAAATGGTGCTGGGAAAACTGGCTAGCCATATGTAGAAAGCTGAAACTGGATCCCTTCCTTACACCGTATACAAAAATCAATTCAAGATGGATTAAAGACTTAAATGTTAGACCTAAAACCATAAAAACCCTAGAAGAAAACCTAGGCATTACCATTCAGGACATAGGCATGGGCAAGGACTTCATGTCTAAAACACCAAAAGCAATGGCAACAAAAGACAAAATTGACAAATGGGATCTAATTAAACTAAAGAGCTTCTGCATAGCAAAAGAAACTACCATCAGAGTGAACAGGCAACCTACAAAATGGGAGAAAATTTTCACAACCTACTCATCTGACAAAGGGCTAATATCCAGAATCTACAATGAACTCAAACAAATTTACAAGAAAAAAAACAAGCAACCCCATCAAAAAGTGGGCGAAGGACATGAACAGACACTTCTCAAAAGAAGACATTTATGCAGCCAAAAAACACATGAGAAAATGCTCATCATCACTGGCCATCAGAGAAATGCAAATCAAAACCACAATGAGATACCATCTCACACCAGTTAGAATGGCAATCATTAAAAAGTCAGGAAACAACAGGTGCTGGAGAGGATGTGGAGAAATAGGAACACTTTTACACTGTTGGTGGGACTGTAAACTAGTTCAACCATTGTGGAAGTCAGTGTGGCGATTCCTCAGGGATCTAGAACTGGAAATACCATTTGACCCAGCCATCCCATTACTGGGTATATACCCAAAGGAATATAAATCATGCTGCTATAAAGACACATGCACATGTATGTTTACTGCGGCATTATTCACAATAGCAAAGACTTGGAACCAACCCAAATGTCCAACAATGATAGACTGGATCAAGAAAATGTGGCACATATACACCATGGAATACTACACAGCCATAAAAAATGATGAGTTCATGTCCTTTGTAGGGACATGGATGAAATTGGAAATCATCATTCTCAGTAAACTATCGCAAGAACAAAAAACCAAACACCATATATTCTCACTCATAGGTGGGAATTGAACTATGAGATCACATGGACACAGGAAGGGGAATATCACACTCTGGGGACTGTTGTGGGGTGGGGGGAGGCGGGAGGGATAGCATTGGGAGATATACCTAATGCTAGATGACGAGTTAGTGGGTGCAGTGCACCAGCATGGCACATGTATACATATGTAACTAACCTGCATGTTGTGCACATGTACCCTAAAACTTAAAGTATAATAAAAACAAAAAAATTAAGTAATTAAAAAAAAATTATTCACCAAGGAAACATAACATGCTTAAATGTTTAATGCACTTAAAAATAGAGCTTCAAGTTGCATGGATGAAAAACTCATAGAAACAAAATGAGAACTAGACAAATCTACACTTATTGTTTGAGCCATCCTATTTCAGTAATTGATATAGCAAATAGAAAATCAGTTAGGACACAGAGGTCTGAAGAACACCAATCAAATCAATTTAATTAGTGATAGAATACTACTCCTAGAAGCAGCAAATACACATTCTTCTCAAGTACAAAGAGTTCCCACCCAGTTTCTCCTATTGTTAACATCTCACATTACCATAGTACAGTTGCCATGACTAAGAAACCAACTTTGGTATATTAATACTAACTAAACTTCACATTTGATTCAGATTTCACAAGATTTTCTACTAATGTATGTTTTCTGTTCCAGAATCTTATCCAAGATGTTACATTGCATTTAGTTGTCATATTTCCTTAGTCTCTACTGGTGTGTAGACATTTTCATATTTCCTTGTTTTTTGTTACCTTGGCAGTTTTGAGAAGTACTTGTCAGCTATTTTATAGAAGGTGCCTCAATTTGTTTTGTTGTTGTTATTTTACATGTTCCTCTTGATTAGGCTGGGTTTATGGGTTTTTGAAAGAGCAAAAGTGAAGTATCCTTTTTACTACATCATATCGGGGATACATGCTATCAACATGACTTATCACTAAGGATGTTTACCTTGTTCACCTTGCCAAGGTAGTATTTGTCACTTTCCTCCATGGTAAGGTTTCATTTTTACCATACTCTATTTTTTGAAAATAAATCACTAATTGTCCACAGTCAAGGGACGGTGGGAGGTGGATGATTAAGCTTCACCTCATGAAGGGGAAAAAACCATATATTATTTAGATTACCTTTTAAAAAAATGTTTCATTTCCTATTTATTTAGTCATTTTAAATTACATCAGTATGAACTGTATTCATCAGATATTCATTTTTTGCTCAGCTTACAATTTAACATTTTGTGTAAATAGTCTATATTAATAATAATTATTAAGAAACTATTAATAATATTTACTTAGTGGTCATTAATTTTGATTGAGAGACATCAAGCTTTCATCAAACTTGCTCATTTGTTGTTGCTTTCTGGCCAATTAAATGACTTACTGGAGTGACTATTTTTATTTAAGCAGGAAGTTCACATATAAATATATAATTTATCATAGTGTTTTCCCATCTTTCTCCTATTTCTGAAGTTTTTCATCTTTTTTATTGGCTAGTTAAATCTTTAGAAATGGGAATACTATTAACCATTGGTGACAATATCATTATTACTACAAAGGAAGACATCTCTTTTTCATGCTCTTACAAAAGGGACACATGAACTTAAAATTTTTTCATACATCTTGTTTCAACTTAAAACACTTCTGGGAAAAATAACATATGTTGTTCATTGCCAAGTATCTGGTACATATGCTGCCATTCTCTCATCTCTACAACAGTGATTATGCACAAAAACATGTTGCAACATATATCCTCAAAGTTCCTTTAACATTTGCATATTCACTGTACTTTTTGCTAGATTCCATTATGGTTGGGAAACTTGATTGTTAGGACTGGAGGCAAGGTGAAAATGTTCCTACTTGAATCCTCAAGGGAGGTTATGAGGTGGATGAGGCAGTGGAATATATCCATCACAACATCTAAATACATGAAACACCCACTGTTTCTATCCAAATACCTTATAATCAATGGAAGAGAAAAACAAAGAAAGAAAAATAAAATAAATATAGAAATTTAATTTAACTTAAAATCTAATAAAATACATAAAAAACTCAAGAAAGTTGTCTAAACTTTCACATCTAAAGTGAATCAAATCAGGTAATAAATAAATCAGATGCGTATTACTACTTGTTTTGTGATTGAATGAAATATAAATGTTATCATCAAGTAGAAAACAAATGCAAATATTAGAAATTTCATCTGCTTATGAGAACTACCAGAATGACTTCAATAATGCTTCTTGATAATTTTTTTGAGTTGGAGACCAAATGTATAAAGAAGATGGTATTGCCTTTACTTAAAATATTTCAGAAATATATACATTAATGTGAACAATCCTTACATTCATTCCTCAATATAATTCATCAAATGTATTTATTTATTTGTTTTTCAGAGTTTATTTTAATTTATAATTTGCAGCCAGAATGATTAGTCTAGGTATACGGAAGAACTTCACTGACTAAAAATTCTTTGAACCTTCTCTCTAACGGGGAAACTAAAGAATGAAATATTTCATCCTAGGCAGCTTTAGGTGTGATCCTATTTGAAGAGAAATTCCTTCCCTCTAGGCGCCTTCTAGCTGCAGTATTCTGTAACTCAGTGGTTCTCAGCTGGGAATAATTTGTCCCCTACAAATTGCAACATCTGAAAACATTTGTTTTTTAAACTTTTAAGTCCTGGGTTACATGCCCATGTGCTTGTGTTACATAGGTAAATGTGTGCCATGGTGGTTTGATGCACACATCAACCCATCACCTAGGTATTATGCCCAGCATCCATTAGCTGTTCTTCCTGATGCTCTTGCTCCCAGGCCCCCCATCCCCCAAGAGTCCCCAGTGTCTATCGTCCCCCGCTGTGTCCATGTGTTCTCATCATTCCAGTCCCACTTATAAGTGAGAATATGTGGTGTTTGTTTTTCTGTTAGTTTACTGAGGATAATGGCTTCCATGTCCATCTACGTCCCTGCAAAGGACATGATCTTGTTCCTTTTCATCTCTTACAAATTTAGGAGGATCTAGGGAAGTGATACTGGCATCTAGTGAGGAGAGGCCAGGGATGCTACTAAACATTCTACAGTGCACAGGATTATCCTTCTCAATGAAGCATCAGTTTCAAAATGTTAACAGTGCTGCTGCTGAGAAACACTGTTGTAATTGCATAAATGGCACTGGAGTTGGGAGAGCTGCATTCCAGTATGGTTTTGCTGCTATCGAGAACCCTCTGACTTCCAGCAGGTCTTTTGCCTTCTGTATTCCTCTGTCACTTCATTCATAAAATGAGCAGATTAGAGAAGATGGGCTCCACATAGGTACCGTTCAGCTCATAAATTCCATGGTTCTTTAGCATAAGTGTTCCTCTAGACATTGTTTCTGGTTCAGATTTTTTGAATTTTTAATTTTTATGGGTAAATACTAGGTATATATATATGTATATATATGTATGTGTACATATATGTATATATATATGTATATATATGTATGTGTACATATATGTATATATGTATGTGTATATATGTATATATATGTATGTGTATATATATGTATATATATGTATGTGTGTATATATATGTATGCATATTTATGTGTGTATATATATATTTCTGGAGTGCATGTGATATTTTGATAAAGGCATACAATGTGTAATAATCACATCAGAGCAAATGGGGCCTCTATCACCTCAAGTGTTTATTATTTCTTTGTGTTACGAACATCAAATTTATTTTTAATCAAAGTCTAATGGGAAACAATTTTAAAATGTAAAAATATTTAGAGTTATTACTTGTTCATATTTCTTTCCACCCGGGATAAATCCTTTTACGTATAATGTATTTTAATTGGAAATAAAAACTGTATATATATATCCTGTACAATATGTTTTAAATATGTATGTGTTCAAGACATCTGTTGTACAACATGACAACTACACTTAATAACAACATAATACATTCTTGAAAATTGCTAAGAATGTACAGTGTGTTTTCACCACAAAAAATAAAAAATAAAAAGAATGTGAAGTAATGTTCATTAGCTCAATTTAGCAATTGCACAATGTATGAATATCCCAGGATAAAACTTTGGACAGAGATCATTATTAACTACTTATTGCTTCATAAATTCTCAAATATTTTGTGATCATTTTGTCTGAAGTGTGATACAGAGTATAACAATGGTATGTGGTAATTAGCTATATCCAAAGACTGATACAGATGCAGAAATTTGGTTTGGCATATGGATAATTTTTCAAGAGTATAGAATTTTATTTTTTCTATTTGATATATGAACTCTGTCTTAGTTTTTCACAATTATTTTGGTTTTGCCTCAGGTTTTTACATCAAATTTTATATTTTAGAAATGTTGACTGTAATATAATTAACTTTGGTTTTTATATTTTTATGTCTACATAGGTTATAAGTCGGTAAGTAAATTTAATAACAACATTTGAAATTACAGAAAGCATGAATGTTCTACAGCAGTTGTGCAACACCATTTTACTTTTTTCGTGTGTGTGTATATTCATTCCAGTATTAAATCCATCATTAATACTTTGTGACAGTGTACCAGGTTGAAGAACCTGGGGCAGAGACTAGCTATGAAAAGACTTAGTGAAATTCACTTCCAGGTACGTTGTCTATTAATATGAAATTCAATAGAATTCTTTTATATCAGCAAAAAGGTTCTATATTGCAGACATATTTGTGTTTGCATGCGTACTATCATAATAAATATAGTCAAATTGTGGAGCCCTTTGCAATAATGTTCTTAGATCAGAATGAAGAAAAATAATCCCTCACTGTACTGGTTTTATTATGTGATTTATTCATCCATTCATTCACTCATTGATCAAGCTTTTATTGATTAACCATCATATGATATGCATTGTGATCAGCAGAATGGATACCTAGAATTATGCTTAGTCACAATCTCTTCTGGAGTCAGATCAGTAAAAAAGATGAACAGTAATTATTGTTATACTATAAATCTGAAGAGGATCTGGAAGTGGCAACAGGAAGGAGTTGTGAATTACATCTAGAAAGTCTGAGTAAATATCTTCCTATTTTATGTCAGGCAATAGCAGAGGTAAAAAGGAAGCCGCATTAACAATGAGGACCTCCTGAGAGGACCAACAAAATGAACTGATGCACAGCCAGAGAAATTTCATGTAAACACTCATTTTCAGGGGCTAGTGTGTTACTCACAGTATACTAGAATGTGAGTAATACAGAGTTGGAACGTAATAATAGCACTATACTTTCTTCATGTGATGTAGACTGGCCAATTTTATTTTTTAAATGTGAATTAAAACGTTAAACTGCTCATTTGTTAATTGTGGAAGTTCTGAACACCTTTTTTTAAATGAATGTTTTGCAAATTTCTGCTGACGTTCTTCCAGTTGCCCTATTGCTTACCATTTCTTTGTAGGTATTCAAGATCCTGTTAATGTGATTGCATTTACATTGGGAAAATGCAGGTGCACAAAAAACACAAATTATAATAGTCATTTATGGATTCATTATTATCATAACAATAGATCATTAGCTCATTTTAATTCAGTTTCTCAATATGAACTAAGAACACACTCTGTATGATTTCTACTTTTTAAAATTTGTTAAGTTGTATTTTATGATCCAGAATGTGGTCTATATTGGTAAATCTTTCATGAGAGCTTGAGGAGAATGCGGAATCTGCATTTTTGGATGAAGTATTCTATAGATAGATGTCCACTAGATCTTGTTGATTGGTGGTGCTGTTCAGTTCAACCACATCTTTATCGGTTTTCTGCCTCATGGATGTAAATTAGTAATAAAGAGGTGTTGAAGTCTCCAGCTGTAATAATGGATTCATCCATTTCTTCTTGCATCTCTGTTTTGTCTTACATATTTAGATGCTTAATTATTAAAGATATTAAGAATTGTTATGTCTTCTCTTTGATACTCCATCATTGCCCCCAAATCCTTATGTAATACTGTTATTTATGCCTAGTAATTTTTCTTACTCTGAAGTCTGCCTTGTCTGAAATTATTATAGTTACTCCGGCTTTCTTTCAGTTGTATTAGCACGATGTATCACATACTTTCACTTAATGTATCATATGTTAATATTTGAAGTGGGTTGTTTTTAGATAATATATCATTGGATCATGTTCTATAACAAAACATTCATACAGTTTCTTTCATTTATTTGTTATATTTAGACCACTGATGTTTAAAGTGATTATTGACATACTTGGATTAATATCTACCAAATTTTTAGTGTTTTCTGCTTACTACTTTTGTTTTTGTTTATTTTTTTCTTTTATTATTTTTCTGCTTTTTATTGTTTTAATTGAGCATTTTGTATGATTTAATTGAAAAAATCTTTTAGTCGTGCCATTGCGTTTGTAGCATATAGTAATACAAGTTATGCTTTTTGTAACACCATATCACTTCTCAGGTAGTGCAAGTACCTTAGAACAGAGTATTCCCAATTCCTCCCTCCCACCCTCCATAACATCACTATCATTCATTTTGCTTATCTGTAAACCGAAATCGTTTAATATGTTGTTACTTAATTCTTATCCTTGCTCCTGTATAAGCACAAGGTCCCCATTCCCCCTTTCACTTCCCCGGCATCCACCAGGATTTTTTTCTTTCTCTTTTGTTTTCTGTGGTTTGAACATGATATGCTAGGTGTAAATGTTTTAGTATGTATTCCGCTTGTTGTTCTTTGGGCTTTGTGTGTCTGTGGTTTGGTTTGGTACCTATCATTAAATTTGGAAAATTCTGTCATTTTTGCAGCAAATAGTTCTTGTTTCTTCTTCTCTTTCCTCTCTCTCTGGTAGTCTCATTATGAATGTTATACCTTTTGTAATTGTCCCACAGTTCTAGGTTATTCTGTTCTAATTTTCTTTTCTATTTTCTCTTTGCATTTCAATTTCAAAAGTTTCTATTGACATATCCTTAATCTCACTGTATACAATGTTGTTTATGTCCAATCTATTGACCCATTCAAGACATTCTTCTTTTCAGTAATGTTTTTGATTTCTAGTGTTTTATTTTAACTCTTTCTTGGTGTTTTCATCTCTCTGCTTAATTGTCCATTTGTTATCGTGCTGTCCACTTACATTGTAAGTTATTCTTTGCTGCGGGTGTCAGAGTCTGACAATTTTCTCGTGTCTGCTTATGTGACCCTTGTTGCCTTTTGGTCTCCCTAGAGACCTCTTCTCATATAACATTAAGAATGCACAGTTCTTTCAGTTGTATGTGTTTTGTTATACAAGAGACTGATTGGTGCGGTGGTAAGGTGTGTGGGGGAAAGAAGCATTCTTTAGTCCTGTAATTGGGTCTCAGTCTTTTAGTGCGCTATGACCTTCACCAATGCTTCTCATGGAATATAGGAAGGAAAGATGGAGCTGGAGTTAGATTACCCTGAGTTAGTTCATCTCTGGTAAAACCCCAGTCAGTTAGGCTCTGGTAAAATAGACTTCTTTAGGGTAGATATTGTTAAGGAAAATAGAATGCTTTGGTCAGACGTTAATAATAATGATTTTTCCCCTCCTTCTTCAAGCAGATTTTTCTCCAGTCTTCATTGTGAGAGCCTGGTAGTGTTCTGAAGGCAAAACTCATAAAATAAGATTAAACACCCAGAGTTTAAACTCAGGATATTCACACTGAGTTTTCATGATTTTGTCACTTACAGTTAAGGTTTCACTACCCCAGTATTGGTTTACATTGAGCTTTTGTTTGTTTTTTGTTTTTTGTTTTTTCCTCCTGGGCTTCTACTTAAATAATTCTCCATATCCAACTATTTCTTCAATTTTGGGAGGAGTAGGTTTCCCTGTGACCTCAGTCCTCTCAGGTAACAACAAAGAGCTATGATTTTCAGTTTGTTCAGCTTTTTTCTTGTTATAAGCACAGGAGTGAAGACTACCAAAGTCCATTCATGTCAGACTAGAAAATGAAAGTCTGAAAAGTGATTTTATTCAAATTTTATTTTTCAGTCCTGAAAAATAACTGTTTCATTAGATCATTAACTATTTCATTAAATCATTAAAGATAGTTAATAGTTAAATTTTAACTGACACAAAAATTAAAGTAATACATAATTACTAATATGATGTAAGGTAGTAACACCTAGTTTTAAATATTTCAAAGCAAATATATTTATTTTAATCTTGGTTATGTGTTTTTTTTCATTAAAGTATCATTATTTTAGGAAATAATGGTCATAATACCTAGCAGGGTTATTTTGGTACAGAAAAATTTTGTTGCATAATGTGAGTAAAACAGTTTTTAGTTAGCCAAATAAGCGAACACTCTAAAAATGAGGTGTGTGTGTGTGTGTAGTTTTAAGTTACTGGCCCCCAAAATTAAAGTACAGCTAAACTCACTTGATAACATCCCATGCCAGACAATGACTTGGAAGAAAATCACAGTTGATGATATTTATATCGGTAGTCAGGATGAAAGGCCTTCAAAGTAAACAGGTTTAAAAAAATAAGCACTACATTATGGAAGTTAAGTCTAGTTTCATTCCCTCTACACTTTTTTCCTGCATATTAATATTTTTTTTGTCATGGCTAGAAACCTGCTCATAAATTTTTTGTCATGTTTGTTTGTATCCTATGATTTCTGTACTATTAATTTCACTCTTCTCTTTCAAATGCTTTTAGAACAGTGACATATTAAGTAAAACAACAGATAGTTGTTGGCTAATGTGACCTAAGATAACTTATTTTATTTTAGAGTTTCTCTCTCCTAATATTTATGAGTAGTGAGTTGTTAATTTTAAAGGAAAAAAGCTTAAATTTTTAAATGAAGAAATATTTGAGACTTACTTCACCTCATTAAAGGGCTAAAATCACTTTCGGGTGCCACAGAAACAAGATGCATTAATAAAGTCATTAATTTTTAATTCATTAGATAAACATTCATCAAATAACACAGTATAAGATCTCTTATGGAAATTCAAGTATAACGGTGAAAAATTTACCTTTGCCGTTATGGAGATTAACTTTCATATAAATAGTTAGACTTATTTTAATTTATTCCATAAATATGACTAATCTGATTTATTACAAATCTGAGTCAGAGTGATTTATTTAAATAAATCAACATGAAAAGACCCTAGACAACTTAGTAAAAAACATATTTTAATTACAATGATATGGTAGCACATTGCAGACTTTTTAAGAAAAATTGAAGAATCTGGTTGAGAAAAAAAAAGGTAGTTGGCAAATTCCAAGAATCTGATCAGTCTCAAAAGTGTATTTCAACTAGAGGAATCCACTCTATTCTTTCATCATTTACCTCAAGATTTAATATCTTAGAGCAAACAAATTTGTCAGGCCAAACTTAGATTATACTCTTATCTTTCCACTAGTGAAGAAAATTATATCAGGATAGATTACTTCAAAATGAGAGTCAAAAGTGGGAGAAAAGGCTGGGCGTGGTAACTTATGCCTGTAATTCCAGCAATTTGGGAGCCTGAGGTGAGAGGATAACTTGAGGCCAGGAGTTCAAGACCAGCCTGGCCAACATGGTGAAACCCCCTCTCTACTAAAAATACAAAAAGTAGCCGGGCGTCCTGGTGGGTGCCTGTAATCCCAGCTACTCAGGAGACTGAGGCACAAGAATTGCTTGAGCCCCAGGAGGCAGAGGTTGCAGGGAGCTGAGGTCACCCCACTGCACTCCAGCCTGGGTGACAGAGTGAGACTCTGTCTGAAGAAAAAAAATAAAAGTGGGAAAGAAGTAATTGCCTAATGGATAGTTGGAAAACTATAGAAAACCAGAAAGCACTAGACACACAAGAACAATCATGACATAATAAAGTAGTGTTTAAGTTTATAATTACATAACTGATATTAGTTTGGTGCAAAAGTAATCATAGTTTTTGCTGGTACTTTCAATGGCAAAAACCACAATTACTTTTGCACTGACATAATAGTTCTTCAAAGGCATTTCTGTTTTGCGTTTTTGTTCACTCTCTTAGGGAACTTAAGCCATGAATTCCTTTTGGTTTTATTTTTTTCTCCATTTGTCAAAGTTGAACAAGCAACTCAACGACTTATGGTCAGTGATTTTTATAAACTATAAGTACTTGTTAAAGGATTGCTAATTAAATTTAGATTTTTAATACATTCGTAGGAGAAAAAAGAGGAAATGATAATAATTATTAAAAACAGATGCCATTTGTCGAGACGAGTATTATTTATTTTATTCCAAGGCAAGTCTCTAATGACCATTAAAATGGACTTTGTAGCTATTAGGTACGTAATTGATAAAAGGGAGTTTGATTTGTTGATTTTGATGTTATGCGTAGGATCAGTTGGTTTCATAGATTGCTGTCACTTATCTGTCAAGAGTTCTAAAACCAATGCTATCTTCACAACCGTCATGGATGAATATGGTCACTGGCCTATTTTATTGACTGGAAAACATAAACACACAAAGATTAATAGAAATGGAACTTGGATTCTAATTATCAACACTAATGCAGGCTCTGTTGCTCTGGAATGTGCCAGGTAAAAATTGGAAACTTATGACAATATCAATTAAAAATATATATCACCCTCAGAAATTGATATTGGAGCATCTTTTAAAAATAGTTTGTCCATATTAGAAAACTCATTTTTAACACTGATTGTTATATTTACATTGTTCTATTACTCTATCTTTTGTATAATAAAATGTCATATAAAATGTATTCTATGGTAAATGTTTTATACGTTTGGGAATTTATATTTTCCTTCCACTTCTTTGTCATTAAGTAAGCAAATGAATGGATAACTTTGATTCCTTTAATACATCTTTATTTTATGCTTACAATGTTCCAAATACCCTTCTAGGTGTGAAAGCTATAAATAAACATAGCTCCACCTAACAGAAAGCTTACTTTTGGAATAGAGAAGAAGAGGAAGTATAAAATTATGAACACATTTTATGATTTCCACACAGAGAGCTAAAGACATGACCAAATCAAACAAAAATGATATGAATTTTCATTTTTACTGAAACTGGAGAATGGCCCTAAGCCAACATATATATATATATATATTATGGGTATTGTGGCAGACAGACTATAAATAGAAAAGCTTAAAATAAATCATGGAGGGATGACTCAGAATTCTGATCCTTCAGAAAGTGGCAACTGAAACTTCCTTATATCCTGTAACTTACAGAGGAAGGAATAGGTATCTCATTTATGATAAGGATTTTTCCTCTGGGAATTTTTTAAATATTGATCAATAAAATTCTGAAATTGTAGCACCAGTACTGAAATAGCACTGAAATGACTGTTACACTTAGAAAACTATAATTTAAAAGTCCATGTGAGGTATATTTTGTTTTTGTTTGTTTAGCTGGGTGGATGGGTATATTAGTTTCCTAGGGCTGCTGTAACAGAGTACCAAAATTGGGTGGCTTAAAAGAAGAGAAATGTATTGTATCACAGTCTGGAGGCTAGATATCCGAATTCAAGGTGTTGTCAGAGACATGCTCCCTCTGAAACCTAGAAAAATAAATCTTTCCCTGATCCGCCCTAGCTTCTAGTCGTTTGCCAAGCAATTGTTGGTATTTCTTAGTTTGCAGTGGCAAGGCCTCAGTCTCTGCCTCTATTGTCACATGTCCATTTCTCTGTGTGTGTCGTCACATAATGCTTGCCTCTGCTTGTCAGGATTTTAATTATACTGGACTGGAGCTCACTCTAGTGACCTCATCTTAATTTGATAACATCTGCAAAAACTCTATTTCCAAATATGGTCACATACACAGGCACTGGAATTAGGACATCAACATATTCTAATACTGGGCTTTATCCTTATTGCAGACTTATTCTACTATAGGAAAAAAAACTTTTATTAAAAGGAAACCTCTTCCTAATGTTACATATGAGTGAATTCATCATATCAAAGTGAGATTAAAATGTGTACCATCACATGCCTTCATCAATAAGAAAGAAAATATAGTAATACTTTTTTAAAAAAAGTACTAAACAAAATTTTAAAAATATAGGAAAGTACAAATTAACAATAGTAAGTGCTGACAAAAATATAATGAAATAGAAAATAAGAAAATACTGGAAAAGATAAATTAATCAAAAACTGACGTGCTTGAATAAGGAAAAAAGAGAGTAATGCATTGGAGATTAAAAATAATGAATTATCCACAGACAGCAGCAAGATTTTTTAAATCTCAAAGAAATAGATGATTGCTTAGTGAAAGGGAAGAGTTCTCTGACTGCCCTTGCAGGACATGCAACAGGAGTGTGGCTCATCTGTGTGGTCACTGCCACTGCTCAAACCCCTTATGGGAGGGAGGAGCACATAGACAGGCAGTGGTAGGAGCCAGGGCACTGGACTCCAGCCCCACAGCAGCCTCCAGAGGTGGGAGCCTGTGACTACCAAAGCCCAAATGAGTGTTTGTTACAGTGCACTCTATTAGCCTTGCCATCCATGGACAGCTTAAGTGTTATCCAGCTCAGTGGACCCTCTGCCTCTTTATAAGAGCAGAAGGCCAGTGTGACAGTTTTCTGTATCCTGAGCTCTTGTTCAGTCTCCCGAAAGTGTCAGGTCTCACACGGACTTGAAGCATGAATGCAGGGGGTTTATTAAGTAGTGGAAGTGGCTTTCAGCAAGACGGATGAGGAGCTGGGAAGGGGATAGAGTGGGAAGATGATCTTCCCCTGGAGTTTGGCTGCTCAGCAGCCGATATCCTCTCCATACATCACCAGTCAAACTCCTCTAGGCGTTCAGACACCCCTTCTCTTCTCTCTTTCTCTGCCACACTGTTCTGCTATTTGTCTGCTCCTCTCCTTTTCTGCTTCTGGAGCCTGAGGCCTGGGGTTAATATGGGTACAGGATAGGGGGCATGGCAGGTCAAAAAGTAGTTTTTCAGCATGAAAACAGGAATGCCTGTCCTCATTTAGGGCCATGGGTATCCAGGCTTGAGGGTGGGGTCTTTGCAAAAGAACTGCCCTTTCCTAGCCAGTATTTCCTTGTCTCTTCTCCATATCATTAGTAATAGTTGATCTACCAATATTAACCCAATAGGGACAAGTAACTTGATAAATTAATTACTACAGAAGAAAATGTGAAGATTATTGGTAGTTTATTCTTGGAAAGCACTTTGATCAGAATACTTCCAAACTCATCCTATGAGGCCAGTATTACCCTGATACAAAAACCACACCAAGACACATGAAAAATGAAGTCTACAGGCCAATATCTCTGATGAATATTGATGCAAAAATTCTCCACAAAATACTAGCAAAAGAAATTCAACAATACATTAGAAAGATCAGTTATCATGACCAAGTGGGATTTAATTTATCCCTGGGATGCAAGCTGGTTCATTACGCATAAATCAATCAAATTGATGTTAACATTAACAGAATGAAAGATAAAAATGATATGATCATTTCGATTGATGCATAAAAAGCATTCAATAAAATTCAACACCCCTTCATGATTAAAAACTCCCAAAAAAAAAACAGGTATAGAAGGAACATATCACCACATAGTAAAAGCTATATACAACAGACACACAGTTAGCATCATACTGAATGGCAGAAAATGAAAGCCTTTCCTCTAAGATCTGGAATGTGAGAAAGATGCCCACTTTCACCACTGTTATTCAGAATGTTACTGGAAGTCCTAGCTAGAGCAACCAGACAAGAGAAAAAAAAAGGAATTTAAATTTGGATAAAAGAAGTCAAATTATCTTTGTTTGCAGATGATATGATCTTATATTTGAAAAAACATAAAGACTTCACCATAATAACTATTGGAAATGATAAACAAATTTAGTAAATTTGCAGGATACAAAATCAATGTAAACAATCCATAGAGTTTCTAAATGCCAAAATGAACAATCTGAAAAAGAAATTAAAAAATTCAATCCCATTTTCAATAGCTACAAAAAAATTAAATACCTAAGAATTTACTTGCCCAAAGAAGTGAAATATTCCCATAATGAAAACCACTAAACACTGATGAAAGAAACTGAAGAGGACTGCCAGGCATGGTAGCTCACGCCTTCACGCCTCTAATCCCAGCACTTTGGGAGGCCAATGTGGGTTGATTACTTGAGGTCAGAAATTCAAGACCAGCCTGACCAATGTGGTGAAACCCCATCTCTACTAAAAATACAAAAAATTAGCCAGGCGTGGTGGTGCGCACATGAGGTCCCAGCTACTCGGGAGGTTGAGGCATTAGAATCGCTTGAACCCAGAAGACAGAGGTTGCAGTGAGCCTAGATCATGCCACTACACTCCAGCCTGGGTGACAGAGCGTGACTCAGTCAAAAAAAAAAAAAAAAAAAAAGAAGAAAAGAAATTGAAGAATTGAAGGGGACACCTACACATGAAAAGGAAAGATACTCCATGTCTATGGATTGAAAGAATCAATATTGCTAAAATGTCCATATTACCCAATGCAACCTACAAATCCAATGCATTCCCTATGAAAATACCAATAAGATTCTTCATAAAAACAACAACCTCCTAAAATTTATTTGGAACCACAAAAGACTCAAAATAGCCAAAGCTATCCTGAGCAAAAAGAATAAAACTGAAAGAATCACATTACCTGACTTCAAATAATACTTCAGAGCTATAGTAACCAAAACAGCATGATTTTGGTTCTTGGCACCTTTAAGGAAAAAGAGTTCACTGTTCCACAAATGGAGCAGAATAGAGAATCCAGAAACAAATTCACATACCTACAGTGAACTCATTTTCCCGAAAGGTGCCAAGAACATACACTGGGGAAAAGACAGTCCCTTCAACAACTGGTGCTGGGAAAACTAGATATCTACATGCAGATAAATAAAACTAGACCTCTCTCATCATATATAAAAATCAAATGAAAATAATTCAAGACTTAATTTAAAACCTCAACCTATGAAACAACTACAAGAATACATTGGGAAAAATCTCTAGGACCTGGGTTTGGGCAAAAATTTCTTGAGTAATGCCCCACAAGCACCGGCAACCAAAGCAAATCTGGACAAATGGGCTCACATGAAGTTAAAAAGGTTTTGCACAGCAAATAATACAATCAACAAAGTGAAGAGACAACTCATAGAATGGGAGAAAATATTTGCGAACTACTCATCTGACAAGGGATTTATAACCATAAGAAGCTCACGTAACTTTATAGAAAAAAATTATTAATGTGATCAAGAAACGGGCAAAAGATTTGCATAAAAGTTTCTCAAGAAAAGACATACAAATGGCAAACAAGTATATGAAAAGGTACTCAACTTTACTGATTATTAGAGAAATGCTAATCAAAAGTACAATGAGATACCATCCAACCCCAGTTAAAATGACTTATATCCAAAAGACAGGCAGTAACAAATGCTGACAAGGATATGGAGAAAAAGCAACTCTTACATACTGTTGGTGGAAATATAAATGAGTACAGCCATTATGGAGAACAGTTTGAAGTTTCCCCAATAAAATAAAAATAGAGCTAAAAACATGATTCAGCATGCACATTGCTGGGTATATACACAACAGTAAATAAATCAGTATATCAAAGAGTTATCTACACTCTCATATTTGTTGCAGCACTGTTCACAGTAACCAAGATTTGTACCCAACCTAAGTGTTTATCAACAGATTAATGGATAAAGAAAAAATTGTATGTATACACAATGGAGTACTATTCAACCATAAAAAAATGAGATCCTGTCATTTTGCAACAATATTGATGGAACTGGAGATCATTATGTTAAGTGAAATAAGCCAAGAAGAGAAAGACAAACATCACATGTTCTCATATATTTATGGGATCTAAAAATCAAAACAATTTGAACTCAAGGACAAAAAAAGTGTGGAAGGATGGTTACCAGAGGCTGGGAAGGGTAGTGGGGAATGGGAGTTGGAGAGGAGTTATGAAGGGTTAATGAGTACAAAAAAAAAAAAATAGAAGGAAAAAGACCTACTATTTGATAGCACAACAGGTTGACTATAGTCAATAATAACTTAATTGTACATTTTAAGATAACTAAAAGAATGTAATTTGCTTCTTTGTAACACAAAAAGTAAATACTTGAGGAGACAGATACTCCATTATCCACAATGTGATTTTCACACATTGCATACCTGTACCAAAACATCTAATGTACCCCATGAATATATGCGCCTACTGTGTACCGACAAAAATGAAAAAGAAAAGCACCCTGACTAAATAAGTTTGCAGCTAAATTCCACCTATTTTTAAGTAATAGTCAAATACAAGTAAAAACATTCAAGAGTATAAAAACATTCTAATATAACTTATTCACCAGAATATGTTTAATACTAATATTATATATTTAATTCAGTAAAACTGTGGCTGCTATATATGACTATGAATGTAAAATGAAATGAATTTATGCATCAGTAAATTTATAGAAGAAAAATATTGAGGTCTTATCAAAGATGCTAGAAAAAATTTGATAATATTCAGTCAAAGTAACTAATTAAAAATTACAAGTAACTCTGAAATTTAAAAATATAATCTATGTACCAGTAAATTATGTAAGAATAATCATGTGGTCTTTTAAAAAATGCTGTTATTTGTCATAATATACAGTCAATGTCATTAATTAAAAGTAAAAAAACAACTGTGAATAAGATTAGCAGGAAACTTTGTGTATACTGTAAATAGTATAGAAGAGACTATCGGGAATTGTTCAGTTAAAATGTGAAATAGTGGCCATTTGTTTTAAGAAACAGATAATAGCAGCACTATTATCTTTGAAGCTGTAGCAAAAATGAGAAGACAGAGGTTAAAATTACTGATATAAATATTAGTTTAAAAAAAAAGGTTAAAAAAAACAGAAAGTAAATATTTTCTTCCAGATAGAATAGTTGCATGCTTAGAAAACTGAAGAGATATTAGTACAGTGTAACAATTAATGAAATGTATGATTTTATCTTTTATCAATACTTCTAATAATCAGAAATGTAAACAAGAAAATCCTCACTCACAAGAACACTTGACTCTACAAAATCTAAAATTAACTGAATTAAGGAGTAGAGGAAACACATGAAGAATGCCATATGAAAATTATAAAACATTGATGAAAGAAATTGAAGAAAGCTGGGTGTAGTGGCGTGTGCCTGTCATCCCAGCTACTTTGGAGGCTTAGGTAGGAGGATCAGGGGTTTGAGGCTGCAGTCAGCTATGACTGCACTTCAGCCTGGGTGACAGAGTGAGACTCTGCCTCCAAAATAAAAATAAGAAAGGAAAAAAATTAAAGACACAAATGAATGGAAAAATATCCAATGTTCATCGATTGGAAGAATTAATATTGTTAACATGACTTTACTACCCAAAGCAATCTATAAATTCAATGCAATCTCTCCCAATATTTCAATGAAATTGTTCCCAAAAAATGAAAATAGAAAAACAATTGTAAAATTCATATGGAACTACAGAAGGCCCTGAATAGCCAATATATTCTTGAGGGGGAAAAAAAAGCCTTAACAAGAAACTCAAAGACCTTAACAACAACAGAACAAGTAATCCTATTAAAAAGTGGGCAGAGAACATCAATAGACTTTTTTTTAAAGAGATACAAATAGCTAACAAATATGTTTTTTAAATGCTCATCATCATTATTCATCAGAGAAATGCACATTAAAGCCACAATGAGATATTTATCTTATACTGATCAAAATGGCTACTATTAAAAAAGACAAAACTGTAACAGATGTTGGCAAGAATGCAGAGGAAAGGAAAAACTTATACACCGTTGGAAGGAATGCAATTTACTACCAACTTCTATGAAAAACAGTATGGAGGTATCTCAGTGAATAGAACCACCATTTGTTCTAGCAATTCCACAACTATGTATCTTCCCAAAGGAAAAAGAAATCATTATAACAAAAAGCTACCTGTATGTTTATCACACCACTATTCACAATGGCAAATATATAAAATCAACCCAAGTGTCCATCAATGGATGATTCGGTAAAAACATGTGGCATATATACACAATGGAATGCTATTCAGCCATAAAAATAATAAATTCATGTTTTTTTGCAGCAACATGGATAGAACTGGAGGTCACTATCTTAAGTGAAATAACTCTGACATGGAAAGACAAATACCACATGTTCTCATTTGTGTGAGTTAAATAATGTGTACACATGGACATAGACTGTGGAATGATAGTCATTGCAAGGGTGGAGATGGGAGTGGAAGATGAGAAATTACTTAATGGGTACAAGGTACATTATTTCAATGATGGATACACTGAAAGCCCCGATTTCACCATTACTCAGTATGCAGGTAACAAAATTACACTTGTACCTCCTAAATTTACACCAAAAAAAAGAGAACAAAGCCAAAGGTATTGTACTAACTAACCTGAAAATCTACTACAAAGCTGTAGTAATAATAAAAGCATAGTTCCATTATAAAGTCACATTGACCAATGTGCACATTGTCCAATGGAACAGAACAGGCACATTGACCAATGGAACAGAACAGCAGGGTCAGAAATAAATATATCCATTACGGTCAGGTGATTTTTGACAAAGACGTCAAAAACATTCAATGGGAGAATTAGATGAATGAAATTAGACCACAGTTCACAGTATAAACAAAAATCAACTTAAAATAGATTTAAAGACTTAATATTATACCTAAAACCGTAAAAATCCCAAAAGTCAACACAGAAAAAAGCTCCTGTTCTAGGCAAAGACAACCCCAAAAGCATAGACAACAAAAGCAAAATTAGGAAAATATAACATCAAGCTAAAAAGCTTCTATACAGCAAACAAAACAACCAACAAAATAAACAACTTACAGATTGGGAGAAAATATTTCCTGTTCTCTGACACAGGATTAAACCAGAATATATAAGGAACTCAAACAAGTAAACAGAAAAAAACAAATAATTCCATTACAAAGTGGGCATAAGATCTGAATAGACATTTACCAAAAGAACACATACAAATGGCCAAGAAGTATATGAAAAGAATGCTCAATATCACTAATCATCAGAGAAATGCAATTTAAAACTACGATGAAATATCATCTCACACCTGTTTAAATGGCTATTATAAAAATGACAATATATAAATGCTGGTGAGAATGTGGTGGAAAGGTAACCCTTGAAACACTGTTAGTGAAATTAATTGTAAGTTAGTACAGCAATTATAAAAAACAATATGGAGGGTCCTCCAAAGATTAAAATTATCATATTACCCAACTATACAACTACTGGGCATTATGCAAAAAATAATAAAATCAGTATGTTCAAGTGATATCTACACTCCCATGTTCACTGAAAAATTATTTACAAGAGCCAAGACATAGCCTCGATCTAAGTGTCCATCAATGAACGAACTGATTGTTTTAAATGTAATACATATACACAACGGAATACTATTCATCCTTTGCCAAAATGAAATTCTGTTATTTGTGACAACATGCATGAGCCTGGAGGACATTATGTTAAGTGTAATAAGCTAGGCACAGAAAGACATACTGCATGATTTCACTTACATGTGGAGTGTAAAAAAGTCAAACTTACAGGAATAGAGAATAAAATGGTGTTTACCAGAGATTGTGGGCCAGTGGTGTTGAGGACATGTTTGTCAAAGGATAAAATATTTTCATTAGATAGGAGGAATAAGATCAAGAGATTTATTGTATGCCTTGCTGCTACAGTTAATACAATATATTGTATACTTGAAAATTGCTGAGCAAGTAGATTTTAAGTGCTCTCGACACACAAGCGGTAATTCATGTGTGAGGTAATTCATATGTTAAATTGCTTGATATAGCCATTCCACAATGTATATGTATATCAAAACATTATATTGTACACCATAAATACACAGTTTTTACTTGTCAATTAAAAATAATACGCAAAAATTTTTTTAAATGAAAAGTATAAAACCTTATCATACTGGAGTAAAAAAGGGTGAGGTATGTAGGAGTTGATCACCATAATGGAGATGGATATTTTATCCATGATATTGATTTGGAACTGCTGCAAGATGATAATTACTAAAAGCAACCTGACTTTTAGTTCATTTTATTCTTTTTTTAAAATTTCCTCTGAACACATATGCCACCTCAGCAATGGACCACATCCCACAGCCATGTCCAAAAGCCACTGTCAAACAGACACAAATCTATAATTATTATCTTAATTTAGGAAGTTCTAATATCATAAAATTAGAACTTCTAACAAAATTCATATATACATCTAAAATGATTTCACTCAAATCCAAAGATTATTCTAAGGCATTTTTGCTTTGGTATTGAAAACTTATTTCAAATCTCATATGATAGAGTAAATAGCAGTAAAAGCCAATGCTACTTAAAAATTAAGAGTATAATTGGCTTGTAAGATATTAAAATATTTTAGTCACCATTTTCAAATCAATGTGATATTAGCATAGATAATTAGATAAGCAAGTCAGAAAAAATGAATAATTCAGAAATAGATGGGAACACTTATGAGAATTTTACTGTATGAAAATAACTAGTTTGCACAATGAACTGATGGAAGTTTCCTAATGGAATTTTACATTATTAAAATTAATTAAAAACCTGCCACTCTCTGAAGCAAAACCTCTCAGGTAGAGAATTTTATTATTAGCTAGATCCAGAGACAGAATCACATGTCTCTAGCAAATTGGAGAACATCTAGAAAATGTCAGAAACACAACTCCAAATGCATGGCAAAAAAAAAAAATGTCCTGCTCACAGGTCAAAGAATGCAGATGGTGAAGCTGGGGACCCTAGATACACTTTTCAGCATACTTTTCTATGTGCTAAAGGGGAACCAAATTAAAAATTTTGCCTGAATGCTGTCTAAATTGGTAAGTATCAACATCAATATTTTCCTGAACCTAAGACAAAAGTTAAATACTACTATTATAGAATAAAGTACAGAAATAAAAGGAAGCAGAAAATGTATCAAAAGAGTAAATAGTATATACCATTATAACTTTCCTTAGTACAATTTTTAAAGCTTTGGAATTGAAAGCCTCACAATAATTTCTCCACACTGACAACCGCTAGAATGCTGTTACACTCACCAGACTTTGCATTTTGTGACACTAAATAGATGTTCACTTCCCACTGAGGTGTGAGTAGGTAGAATCAAGACACATTTGTCACTAGGATTGCTATTATAGGGTTAGATTGATGTTAAAATCACTAGATTAGTAAAACTTCCCTCATCTCTAGTATAAATTGACTGAAGTGAAAATATTTATCTGGTATCTTGTTCACCCTAGAACTTAAGAACTGTAAGGACTTAAGAGATTCAGACAACAGTGGTAATGCAAATTCACTGTTATATGAATATATATACTAAGATATATATGAATGAAAGATATATATTAATGAAAAAAATATATAGAGATATACTTTTCTAATGCCTTTCTGTGCTTTTGTTGGTTTGCAGAATTAGTCAGGAAAGATTAGCCCTTACACCTTGGAGGTGCAAATTAAGTAAGGGAGCAATTAGCTTTATGATAACAAAATTATCTCTGAATTGTCTCTGCATCTTACTCTCGTTATGTACACAAAAAATCTTCTTGGGTATGAATTAAATAATAGTCGATGTTGAGGGATATCAGGAAAAAAATGTTACTTTAACTTATCCTCTATTTGAAGCTCCAAATATTGTAGCCAAGGCAAAAGCAGAATTTGGCTGAATTCTGATGTCAAAGAAAATGTCTGGATTTCCCACTGAAAACTGAGGTTTATCTCCATGTGTAATCTTACTGTGGCTGTGGAAATGAGGTAGAAAACATATTCTTACTCCTGTGGTAAAACCACTTATACTCTGATTATCAAATTGAAACTCACTTTCCTCAAAAGCTTACGTTTTGATTCTAATGAAGACTTGTCTCACCATTCACACAGTAGATTACCCATTACTAATTACTAAATGCTAACCTTGTTCTTGGGTCAATTTTTGCATGTATTACACTGCATGGTAATACTTTGTTTATATATTTACTTTTCTTATCAGATTATGATCCGATTAAGATAAAAAATGAGTACACTGCAGAAGCTCAATACATTCCTGTTAAACTGAGGAAATGAAATTGAGAATTTTATCTTCCTAGTATATGTCGAAGTGTTCTGATTAACCTGTGTTACATAGAGATGTATTAAACGATAGATTCTTGTAACCAAAATAAAGCAAAAGATGGCATAATATTTAAATAAAATATGAAAATTTTCTAACATGACGAAACAATGGATAAGGACAAAAAATACCATTTCGTTGCTTTGAGGAACCAAAATGCAGTCCCTTGTCATAGGTAAAAAAATCATCATTCAATCTACCTTGCAATTTCCTGACAGAAGGGAGTGCTGGCCATCATATCATCTAGAAATTCCCCCATGTGCTTTAGTCTGTCGGCTGAAAAAGATTCAATTGATTATGACAGATGGGCATAAAATCTGTCACAGTTCTGATGAATTGGGGAGGGAAAAGCTTGATAAATGCTGAGAGACAGATTATGCCTTGATGATTATTTGTGTGAAGTCAATCATCTTTGTACTGGGTACTTACTATAATCTGCTAGAGGAAAATTATTATTGACTACTAATTGGCATATATTTTGCTTCTCTTTTGACTTAAAATGTCAATGATAATTTTTAGCCTGAAATGATTATATGTAGAAATACAGAAATGCACCTAATAAAATCATCAACTTTATAATATACAATTTAAAAAACTATCAATATTCCAACATTTATCTCTACCTTATGAATACCAATGTTAGATGGATCTGAAATACACGAATATAAAAAAGTATGTCTCAACTGTGCCTATATCCAGTCAACATCGTACTACTTTATTATATAAATCTAACAGCACATCTTAACAATTGTTTGCACAAAACTCTCATTTTAAAAAATCATTTGGAAAACTGTCTTTACATACCTTTCTAATTTGTAAATTGACTTTATGAGTTAGCATTGTTAATTCCACATAGAGAGGTAATATAAAAGGAAATGCAGTTTTTAAATTTTTACAGTGCATGATGTATGCTTTATACTTTTTATTTTGCTTGGCTGATGTTTTTCAGACAAGCAAAATAAAAAGGATGCCTGCATAAGGTCTGAATCTTACACAATTCAGTTTTGAGTTTTGATCATCCCCACATCGTGGAAAATGTGTCTCTTTTTAAAGAATGGCAAAATTTCTAATTTCAAAATGTTCTCCTTAACATTTCTTGACATAGCCAAGAGGTGTGTGTGTGTGTGTGTGTGTGTGTGTGTGTAAGGGCTTTTTTTTTTTCCCCTTAACTTCACATGCTAAGTGATGCAGAGCCAATTGCTCTCAAATTTCTTCCTCGCTCTTTGCTCTGCCTTTTCGAGCAGAGGGCCTGGCCTTTGCTTATTAGTTTTCCTTGGCTGCAGTTTTAGCTGGCTTCCATCTTGTTTGGAGTTAATGAGAGGCAATAGCAGCAGATGATAGGGTGGTCAGAAAAGGTGAGGCCATCATCTTCAGTCTCCCTCAAATAAGTTTTCTGCGGTTGTTCAGCTCCCTGGTGACAAGCTGTAGTTACAATCCTGTGGGGTGATCCCAGCCCTTGGAATTCCAATTTTCTCTTTGTATTAGCAACTTAGGAGATGTAGTGTTTTTCTGCTATTGCTAATCTCTGAGTATGATCAATATCCCCATTTATCTTCTCAGCTCTTCTATCACTTGTGTGACGAGTTCTCCATTAAATTACCTATGTTAGAAATACTTTGAGTTATTTCTCTTTTTTCTAAGAGGATTCTGAATGACAGATATTCCAACTTAAAAAAAATAGTAGCAGCTACCTTGACTGGAAGGTTGAAATGTATCTTAAGGTTACATGGTTGCAATTAAGTGCTAGAATCAAATATAAATGCATGCCATGGATGAGGATAGTATATGTAACTGCTCACATTACCAGGTGATGGCTCTTCTAGACGTTTACAAATCTGTATAGTCCTTGGTATTATATTTTGCCATCACAATACTTCTAATCTTATCATGTACACTCTGAGTGGTTCCCTCTCAAACATATCAAAAACTTCCATTATAAAAGTTTTTGAAACTCAAGGCCCTGACTGCCTTAAGACCCCCTCATTCTTAAACCCCTGAAATTTCTTTTTCACATTCTGACAAATATTATAAATGAGAATAAAACCTTAGTTTTCTGTGGCTGCTGTGGCACATTACATCAGTGGGTTAAAAAGCTCAAATGTATTCTCTCATAGTTCAGGAGATTAAAAGTCTTACCGGGTTAATATCAAAATATTGGCAGGGCTGCATTCCTTCTGGAGGCTCTGGGGGAAAATGCACTCATCACACTGTTTAGCTCCTAGATACTGCCTGCATTTGTTGGCTTGTGAGGCTCTTCTGTCATCAAAGTCAGCAACTGTATCTCTCTAACCCTCTGATTCTGTCTTCATATACCCTTCTCTTATTTTGACCCTCTTGTCTCCCTCATTTAAGAATCTTTATAATTACATAGGGCCTATCCAGATATGATAATGTCCACATTTCAACATCCTTAGCTTAATGATACTTGTGAAATCCTTCTCTCTTTCTCGCTTTTTTTTTTGTATTCCAACAGGAATAGCCATGA